>NC_000004.12:131951684-132254714 GCF_000001405.40 Homo sapiens
TCATTTAGCAATCAGTGAGGCAATACACTGACATCATGATCCCTTTTTTTAGGAACTCTGTACAAAATTCCCTTTGAAAATATAAATTTTGGAAATGAGTGATGAGCAAAGGGGTTTCATTAACATTATCACAATCTCTTGATATATCTGCTTGATAATGTAGCACCTATTATTTGGGGCCATTAGGACCTTGGCTGAAATTCTGGTAAATGTAAAGAAACCACATTTAACATCCAGTTAATTTAATTTTTGTTTGTTTGTTTGTTTGTTTTGTTTTTGTTTTTGAGACGTTGTCTTACTCTGTCACCCAGGCTAGAGTGCAGTGGTGTGATCTCGACTCACTGCAACCTCCACCTCCACCTTCTGGGCTCAAGCAATTATCTTCCTCAGCCTGGGATTACAGGAACCCACCACCATGCCCACGTAATTTTGTATTTTTAGTAAAGACGGGGTTTCACCATCTTGGTCAGGCTAGTCTTGAACGCCTCACCTCGTGATCCACCCACCTCGACCTCCCAAAGTGCTGGAATTACAGGCGTGAGCCACCTTGCCTGGCCTCAATATTGTTTTTAATAATTTCTGCTTTACTTGCAGTTAATCCTATCAGGCCGT
Source organism: Homo sapiens (assembly GCF_000001405.40). NCBI lineage: Eukaryota > Metazoa > Chordata > Mammalia > Primates > Hominidae > Homo > Homo sapiens. The sequence continues at coordinate 131,952,297 of NC_000004.12, forward strand.
CTACCATACCCAGTTGTGTCAGCAAGAAGATCTGTACAATGATAAATAACACATGGCTCCCAGGGCTAAACATATTCCTAACACTTATATAAACACTTTTTCAGAAATTTGACAATATTTTATAATTAAACAATATCTTATTTTACAAGAAAAGATATGGTATCACAATACTCTGAGCAAAGAGTTAATTTGCTTCTCAAATTTCCTAGATAATGAAGTAGTCCTAAAATATTTAACTCAGTATTGGTAATAGTTTCAATTTGAGGAAGTGTTCTGAATAGCCTTTTTAATGCTGATGTCATAAGATTATGTTACAACCACAGACTTTCGATTAAAGACACTTTATTTTTAATTTTGTTCTAAAAAATAAAATTATATATAAATACACATGTATCCTAAACTATATATGTATAATATACATATATGTATATATATACACAGAGAGAGAGAGAGGAGAGAGAAACAGAGACAAAGAGAGCCATAAATCCTGAATTTGTTGTTGTCAATGGTGTTTGATAGCATCACTTTGTAACTCAATAGGATGTATCTGCACAAAGCTAAAATTAATTTATTTTTGCCATACAAGGCAAGTGTATCTTGTTGATGTCTATAGAGAAAATAAATCACCCTCTAAAGAACTGTTTATAAATAAATAATTGATATCGGAAAATTCAGAAAAAGTACCACTATCATTTTACATACCATATTGCATTGAAATTATATGTTTATGCTTCTCTTGCTTCTACCTCTCTGTGAATTCAAGGTTAGAAAAGGAGAAATTTTTATCTTAGCATTCCCAGGACCAATCACAATATCTAATACTTACAGCATGCAATAAATGTTGGTTGAACTGAAATAAATCTGATATAAAAACAAATAATGCTTTAGGGAAGTGATTTTTCATTTGAGATTATTTTCTCAGAAAAATTAATATGACCAGGTTGTCATCCTATGCAAACATTAGTATGCCTTATTGATTTTTCACTAAGTTATATATCTTATATTATAAGACTTTTTTATGGGTGTCTCTACCTATAGATTCCAGGCACTAACAAACCTGTAGAAATTCATAAATTTAATGCATTTTATCAAGTTGATTAATATAGCATGAACATTTTTCAATTGGCTTCACAAATCATTTATTGTTAAATGTTATTCTTATACCTGTATTAGAGAGAAAAAAGCCAGAGGTGGCAAGGTGATATACAGATCAACTGGAAATCCACAAGTTTTGGTTTGGAACTCTTTGGAAAATTGAATAAAGAGTCACACCTTGCTCAAAACTGAATTAGTAAAAGCGATGTACATATCAATAAACAAACTTCTCTAATAAAAAAAGCATTAAAAATATAGTCAGCATATATTTTTCTGGAATATAAAATTGAGGAACTAGAATAATTCAACTTGAATAAGTGTAACTAATTCATTTTCTGCAAAATATTACCCAGAGTTTGAGTATTTTTCTATTTATTCTATTGGAAAAAAATGATATACCACTGTACTGGAAATATTCAGAAAAGTTAGTCTATTTTTTAAAATTGTACTTATTATACCTTTATAACCGTGAGATAATATATTTATTATTTGAATGAGAATTAAATGTTTATGATTTATACAAAAATGCCTGACACAGACTACTTTGCCCACAAAAGTTGAATGGTTATTTTTAGCTTATATATACCTATACAGGTTAATAGACATATCTTTACTTCTTTTTTCTTTTTTTTTGAGACGGAGTCTCACTCTGCAGCCCAGATTGTAGTGCAGTGACATGATCTCGGCTCACTGCAAGCTCTGCCTCCCGAGTTCACGCCATTCTCCTACCTCAGCCTCCTGAATAGCTGGGACTACAGGTGCCCGCCACCACTCCCGTCTTATTTTTTGTATTTTTAGTAGCGATGGGGTTTCACCGTGTTAGCCAGGATGGTCTCAATCTCCTGACATTGTGATCCGCCTGCCTCAGCCTCCCAAAGTGCTGGGATTATAGGCGCGAGCCACTGCGCCCGGCCAATATATCTTTACTTCTTATAAGAAATGAGTAACGTTATTAATTCTACCAACAGATAACATTCTTCCTCTCAGAGAGTAATATGCAATCATTTCCTAACCTTATTTTATTGCGCTATATTTTAAATATAATAAACATGTCAAAAATGTAGTTTCGTACATTTTATAAATTGATATATTTACCTAATTACACTAAATCTAGAAAATACTATTGTGCTTATTCAAACTTCTCTTCTCTTCTTCAGAGGCAAACCTGTATAATTTCTTTGGTTTGTTTGTTTGTTTTAAGACGTAGTCTTACTCTGTTACCCAGGCTAGAGTGCAGTGGTACAATGTGAGCTCACTGCAACCTCCGCCTCCCGGGTTCAAGCGATTCTCCGGCTTCAGCATCCCAAATAACTCGGATTAAACCCTTATAATTTCTATCATGATTGATTTTGTTCATCTTCAAATTCCAATAATTAGAATTCCTACAGGATGTGTGTGTGAGTGTGTATCTGGTTTATTTTCTTTAGCATAAATAAATATTTGAGATTTAGCCAAATATTTGTGTGTATCATTTATTTTTCCTCATATTTCTGAGTTGCCTATGTATTTGTCAGAGTTTGCTTATTCATTAGTCTGTTAGTGAATATTCAGATTGCTTTCAGAATTAGCTTTTACAAATAAAGGACTTAGGTGCATTCTCAAACAGGTTTTTGTGTAAATATATGCTTTCATTTTTGTTGGATAAATTTCTAGAATTGAAATTGCTGTGCTATAGGGTAGATGTATGTTGGCCTTATTGAGAAGCAAATTATTTTTCAAAGCGGTTGTTCCGCTTTTTTTTTTTTTTTTTTTGAGACACAGTCTCGCGCTGTCGCCCAGGCTGGAGTGCACTGGCGTGATCTGGGCTCACCGCAAGCTCCACTTCTCAGGTTCACGCCATTCTCCTGCCGCAGCTTCCTGATGAGTTGGGACTACAGGCGCCCGCCACCACACCCGGCTAATTTTTTTTTTTGTGTGTGTATTTTTAGTAGAGACGGGGTTTCACCATGTTAGCCAGGATAGTCTCGATCTCATGACCCCGTGATCCGCCCGCCTCGGCCCCCCAAAGTGCTGGGATTACAGGCATGAGCCACCGCGCCCAGCCGGTTGTTCTATTTTACACTCTCACAAGAAATAGACACGACTTCTAGTTTCCCCACATATTTGCCAATATAGTATTATCATTTTAAATGTTAGTCTTTCCAGTTTCAATGCATTTTGGTTGCATTTCCCCTTACCTAATAATATTGAGCATCTTTTCACATTCCTATAAGCCACTTGTATCTCTTGTTTTGTGAAATACCTGTTCAAGATTCTTATAACTATTTAGTGGATCTCAGGAGTACTCTGTGCGTTTTGAACACGCAATTTTTTTCTCATACATATATGGAATAATTTATCACAGTCTATGGCTTAAAATTATATTTTCTTACATTTTGCAGTTTTATTAGGATACATTTTTAATTAATATCTACAATTTATCAATTTTTACTCTTATGATAGTGCTTTCTCTGTTCAGAAATGTTTTTCCTATTATAATAGCTCGCAGATATTGTTCAATTTTTTTCTTTTAAAAGCTTTCTGAATTTTGCTTTTTCATTTTTATGCCTACATTAAAAATATTGGATTAGTTTTGTGTATACAAAGGACTGATGCATGTATTTTTTTAATATGAGAATGCACTTATTTCAAAAGCCTTTGTTAAAGACTTACTTTCCCCACTGAACTATCTACATGCCCTTATAAACATTTAATTTACTGCATAGGTGGAGGTCTAATTTTGAACCCTTCTTTATCCTTATTATTTTTGTGTTATGATGTTTTGATACTGCAGCTTTCTTAGATGTCTGAAAATTGGCTCTATTTTTTTCTCAAAATTCTAGGTCCTATGAATTTTCCAAACAAATTTTGGAAACAGCTTGTGAATTTCTCTCAAAATGTTTGCCACAATTTACTACAGAGTTGTAGTAAATAGATATAGAATTCATTGTAGTCAATAAATTACAAACTATATAGATTGCATTGATGCTTTTTTTTTTTTTTTTTTTTTTGAGACAGAATCTCACCTTGTCATCCAGGTTGGAGTGCAGTGGCACAATCTCGGCTCACTGCAACCTCAGCCTCCCAGATTCAAGCAATTATCCTGCCTCAGCCTCCTGAGTAGCTGGGACTACAGGCCCATGCCACCATGCCTGGCTAATTTTTTTGTATTTTTTTTAGTAGAGACAGGGTTTTATCGTGTTAGCCAGTATAATCTTGATCTCCTGACCTTGTGATCCGCCCACCTTGGCCTCCCAAAGTGCTGGGATTACAGGCATGAGCAACCGCGCCCAGCCCCTACTGCATTGATTCTAAAGATTAACTTCCAGAGAATTCACATCAAACAATGTTGCATCTTCAAATCTATGAACATGGTAGATCTTTACATTTATTTAGGTCTTCTGTAATGTTTTTCTACATGAAATTTTAAAAAGTTTTAGTGTGAAAGATTTTTAAATGTTTCACTTAAATTATTCTTAACTATTTTTATACCACTAAAATTTTACTTTTAAATGTATTCTCAATTGTTTATTTCTAGTATTTAGAAATTCCATTAATTTTACATATTGTATTTTGTGTATTGACCTTTCATTCTACACATTCTGCACCATTATTGAATTTGATTCTTATTATTCACAGCTTTTTAAATAAATATATTAGGATTTTCTTCATACACAATATACATATATATGTTCTGTGAATAAAAATATTTTTTCTTTCACTTTTCAATTTTTATGCTTTTCATTTCTTGACGCCATGCAAGTCAGAAATCCAGAGGGGCAGCCAAATCTTAAAGCTCCAAAATGATCTCCTTTGACTCCATGTCTCACATCCTGATCATGCTGATGCAAGAGGTGGGTTCCCATGGTATTGGGCAGCTCTGCCCCTGTGGCTTTGCGGGATATAGCCTGCCTTCTGGCTGCTTTTGTGGGCTGGTGTTGAGTGTCTGTGGCTTTCCCAGGCACATGGTGCTGTTGGTGGATCTAACATTCTGAGGTCTGGAGGATGGTGGCCCTCTTCCCACAGGTCCACCAGGCGGTGCCCCAATAGGGACTCTGTGTGGGGGCTCCCACCCAACATTTCCCTTCCTCACTGCCCTAGCAGAGGTTGTCAATGAGGGCCCCATCACTGCAGCAAACTTTTGCATGGGCATCCAGGTGTTTCGATATATCTTCTGAAATCTAAGCAGATGTTCCCAAACCTCAATTCTTGATTTCTGTGCACCCACAGGCTCAACACCACGTGGAAGCTGACAAGGCTTGGGGCTTCCACCCTCTGAAGCAACAGCTCAAGCTGTACTTTGGTCCCTTTTAGTCACAGCTGGAGTGACTGGGATGCAGGGCACCAACACCCTACACTGCACACAGCATGGGGACCCTGGGCCCAGTGAAACCATTTTCTTCTAGGCCTCTGAGACTGTGATGGGAAGGGCTGCTGTGAAGAATTCTGACATGCCCAGGAGACATTTTCACCATTGTCTTGGGATTGACATTCGGTTCCTCGTTACTTATGCAAATTTCTGCAGCCAGCTTAAATTTCTCCTCAGAAAATGGGTTTTTCTCTTCTATCACATTGTCAGGCTGCAAATTTTCTGAACTTTTATGCTCTGCTTGCCTTATAAACTGAATGCCTTTAAAAGAACCCAAGTCAATTCTTCAATGCTTTGCTGTTTAGAAATTTCTTCTGTCAGATACCCTAATTCATCTCTCAAGTTCTAAATTTCACAAATCTTTAGGGCACGGGCAAAACGCTGCCAGTCTCTTTGCTAAAACATAACAAGAATCAACTTTGCTCTAGTTTCTAACAAGTTCCTCAAATCCATCTGAGACCACATCAGCCTGGATCTCATTGTTCACATCATTATCAGCGTTTTGGTCAAAGCCATTCAAAACGTCTCTAGGAAGTTCCAAACTTTCCTGCATTTTCCTGTCTTCTGCTGAGCCCTTCAAACTGTTCCAACCCCTGCCTGTTACCTAGTTCCAAAATTCCTTCCACATTTTCAGGTATCTTTTCAGCAGCATCCCACTCTACTGATACCCGTTTACTGTATTAGTCTGTTTTAATGCTGCTGATAAAGACATACCCAAGACTGGGCAATTGACAAAAGAAAAAAGGTTTAATTGGACTTACAGTTTCATGTAGCTGGGGAAGCCTCACAATCATGGTGGAAGGCAAAGAGGAGCAAGTCACATCTTACATGGATGGCAGCAGGCAAAGAGAGCTTGTGCAGGAAAACTCCCCCTTATAATAACCATCAGACCTCATGAGACTTATTCACTATCAGGAAAACAGCACAGGAAAAGCCTACCTCCATGATTCAATTACCTCCCACTAGGTTCCTCCCACAATGTATGGGAATTCAAGATGAGATTTGGGTGGGGACACAGCCAAACCACATCAATGAAGCTCTCTGTTGTATTTGTTAATGCTGATAATGTTTTTTTGTTTTGTTTTTGAGATAGAGAAGGAGATCTTAGAGACGAAAAAGGGGAAGCTGCATTAAAATTGGTAAAGGAAGAAACATAATATGAAAGGAGGGAAATAATGAGGTAAAAGATGCAGAGACTGCTTTCCAGACAAAGTAAGAATGAACTTCACTTTGGAATAACAAAGCAGTGCTTGCTTGGCAAGGTGAGTCTTAGAATCTGACTAACATCAACAGGGCAGAGTCTCAGGTAATTAACAAAACCAAGAAGGAACAGGGAGCAGCAATGCTAAAACACAAGAACCCAGGTTACTTTGTCCTACTTCATAGTTGTTATTTTCCTAATCATTGGAGATAAGCTATGATTAACAGAAAAACTACCCATGTAAAATATTGTCACCCAACTTTTAAGAAAAACAAGAAAGAAGATACAAAATACAAAACTTAGCAAACAGAATAAGTAATTTCAGAGAATCAGAATTAAGACAAGAAACAAATGTAATTACAGTAAGTGTAATTCATATCTTCAGAGACATGCAAGAAGAGGTTGCATTTTAGAAAATACTGATAATAGCTCTTGGATTAAAAACTCAACAGATGCTCTGAAGAGAACAATAGACATAGTTAAATATAGATCTAGCAAGTTTGAAGTTTAAAAGTTGAATAATTCTCTCTGAATCCAATGGCTAGGAAAAAACGAAGAAAGGTAAAGGGAGGTAAAGTGAAGATGAAGAATTGTTGACATAAAGTTGTTTAAAATACTAGAAAAAAAGGAAAGTAAACATAAAGACAGAAATAATTAAAGAACTAATTTAAATATTTTTTAGAACTAGAAATACTGTAGACTTGAGATTTAAAGTTTTCATAGAAGTATCAACTTATATTAATGGAGAAATTCTGATAGACATTTCTTGAAGAAGCAATGGGACACTAATTATTAGGACAGAATCATAAAGACTTCCAGAGTAGGAGGATAGAAAGGTAATTTTCAATGGAAAAAGAAGTAGATAGAAAAGAAAATTTATTCTTAAACAAGTAAATGTTGTTAATAACTGGGACAAGACCATCAATGTCTGAAGAAATAAATGTTTTTACAAATAGTGTCCTATAAGTACCCAAATACGCATTTAATTTTGTGGACAAAGCAAAGACAATTGTGCATATCTCCCAATTCCCAAGCATTTAAAAATCCAAAAATAAAATAATAAAATTAACAAACAGATTTTTAGAATTATGTCTGGCAGGAGTTTCGATCAGTCATAGAGCGCAATAGCATACTTGAAAATAAGGACAATATGGCCATTTTATTGATTCTTCCTATCCATGAGCATAGAATGTTTTTTCATTTGTTTCATCCTCTCTGATATCTTTGGTGTTTTTAGTTCTTACAGAGATCTTTCACCTCACTGGTTAGCTGTATTCCTAGGTATTTGATTCTTTTTGCAGCAATTGTGAATGAGATTGCATTCCTGATTTGGCTCTCCGCTTGACTCTTGTTGGTTTATGGGAATGCTAGTAATTTTTGTATGTTCTTTTTGTATCCTGAGACTCTGCCAAAGGTGTTTTTCATCTTAAGGAGCTTTCGGGCCGTAAGCTTTTGGGCCTATAAAGTTTTCTACATAAAGGATCATGTAATCTACAGATAGGGATAGTTTGACGTCCTTTCTTCCTATTTGGGTACCCTTTATTTCTTTCTCTTGCCTAACTGTTTTGGCAAGGACTTCCAATACTATGTTGAACAGGAGTGGTGAGAGAGGGCATCCTTGTCTTGTGCACAAAATACACTAAAATAAAATTGCTTAAAACTAGTGATAAAGAAAAATTCTCAAAGCAGCCAATGACAAAAACACGGTTTGCACAGAGGAACAAAAAATGTCAGCAAACATTTTATTGGAAACAAAGAAAATTAGAAGATGATGAAGCAACATCTTTAAAGTATTGGAAGATAAACATTGTCAGCTGGAAATTGTAGACTCAGAGAAACTATCTTTCAAGATGTAGGTGAAATAAAGATTTTGTTCAGGCACTTAGAACCTGAAAGAAATCATCACCAGTAAAACAACACTATAAAAAATGTTAAAGAAAATGTTTCAGGCAGAAGTAAAATAATATCAAAAGGAAATTTGGATCTACATAGAAGAATGAAAAGCACTGGAAATGGTATCAACATGGTTAAATATATAAGATCCTTTTATTTCTGTTTGAATTCAATTGATTGTTTAAACAAGGGGTCAGCAAGCTATAGCTTCATGGGTGGACTGCCTGTTTATGTGAACGAATTTTTACTGACACACATTCATGCTCATTTGTTTATGTATTATCAATGGGTGCTATAGAATTACAAAAGCGGAATTAAGTAGTTGTAACAGAGCCTAATGGCACACAAGCCTAAAATATTTAGCTTTTAAGAAAAGCATGTCCGGTTCTAGTGGCTCATGCCTGTAATCCCAGCATTTTGGGAGGCCGAGGTGGGCGGATCACGAGGTCAGGAGATTGAGACCATCCTGGGCAACATGATGAAACCCCGTATCTACTAAAAATACAAACATTAGCTGGGTGTGGTGGCACATGCCTGTAATCCCAGCTACTCGGGAGGCTGAGGCAGGACAATCGCTTGAACCCGGGAGGCAGAGGTTGCAGTGAGCTGAGATGGCACCACTGCACTCCAGCCTGGTACAAAGCTAGACTCTGTCTCAAAAAAAAAAAAAAAAAGAAAGAGAGAGAAGAAAACAACATTATTAACCTCGAATGTAAACAAGAATAATAACAATTTATAATGAGTTTACAACCTATATAAAAATAAATTACATGACAATAACAGAACAACAGGATAAAATAATGAAAATGTTACTTCATGATACTGTATGTAAAGTAGTATATTATAATTTGAAGGTAGAATGTGATGAGTTATAGATGTATACTACAAACTCAAAAGCAACCATTAAAATTAACAATATAGAGAGTTTTAATTCTCAAGTAAAAAAGGAGATAAGATGAAACCATAAAATGTATTTAATTCATAGAAAAGAAGGCAAACAAGAGGGAAAATAAGCAAAACACAGATGGGATGGTAGGGGAAGCAAAATTTTATTACCATCTTCTTAGTTTTTTTTTCCCCCTCTGCTAAGCCTGAGAATTAAATTGATATAAGACAGATCAACAGGAAAATGCATACAAATTTATTTAATACATGTATTATGTGGCATGAGAGATTCTTTAAGGAAGGCTCAATGACATAATCACTTATGTTCTGAAGTAGACACAGAGTAGTAAATTGTGAAATATGACAAGACAAAGGAGCTGGAACTAGTGTAGTTAATTGGGTGAAGAGTTGATTAACAGGATAAGGGTTGGTTTAACAAGGTCTGTTTGTACAGGTTTCCCTTGCCTCAACTTCTCATCCTGGGTGATGAGACTGTTACTTTCCTTCTTGTATAAAGAGGGCAACTTTCATGTAGAAATTTTACCTCCTGCTTTTAAGAAAAAGGAAAATCAGAGTGCTTTTCTTGCATCTGCTGTTTTTCAAGTGTCTTTAACTCAAAAAAATCAATATGCCAAAGTGGCATGTTTGGGGGTATCTGGTTCTGAATTCCTTCAGGAAAGATAGAAAGCAAAAGCAAAATAATAGGTTTAAAACTAAAAATAGCCCAGTGCGGTGGCTCATGCCTATAATCCCAACACTTTGGGAGACTGAGGTGGGCGGATCATAAGGTCAGGAGTTCAAGACCAGCCTGGCCAACATAGTCAAAGCCTATCTCTACTAAAAATACAAAAAATTAGCCAGGCATGGTGGCGGGCACCTGTAGTCCCAGCTACTTGGGAGGCTGAGGCAGGAGAATGGCTTGAACCCAGGAGGCAGAGGTTGCAGTGAGCCAAGATCATCGCATTGCACTTGCACTCCAGTGTGGGCAACAGAGTGAGACTCTGTCTCAAAAAAAAAAAAAAAAAAAAGAAAGAAAAAGAAAAAAGAAAAAAAAAATGTATGTATATATATATATATATATATATATATATATATATATATGCACGCATAACCACATTACATATAAATGGTCTAAATATACCAATTTAAAAGCAGATTGGATCAATAAAACAAGATCTAAGTTATTACTGTCTAGAAGAAATTCAAGAATATCCTAATAAAGGATATCTATGTAAAAACAATAGCTGGCATCATACTTAATGAAGAAAAATCAGTTTATTTCCCCCTATTTCAGGAACAAGATGAGTCCGTTAACTCCTAGCACTTTGTTTTAACATTCCACTAGATGTTCTACCAAGTACAATAGACAAAAAACATAAACAAAAGAATTCCAGACAGGAAAGGAAAACGTAAATTGGTTTTATTTATAGACGGCATGTCTATGTAGAAAGTCCACTGAAATCTACAAAAACACTGCTGGCTATAATAAGTGAGTTAGCAACATAAAAAAGAAAAAAAGCAACATATTAAACTAATACTTCCATATACCGGCAATGAACAATAAAAAATTAAAATAAAAGTACTATTAATAATATCATGAAAAATGTAGAAGAATTAGGAATTAATCTATCAAATGATGTGAGAGTCTGGTACACTAAAACTCAAAACACTGCAGAAAGTTAAAGAAGACTTAAATAAATGGAGAGATATAATATGAATATGGGTTAGAAAATTCACATGGTAAAATGTGATTATGCCTAAATATAGATTCAATACAATCCCAATTAAAATATTATTAGGCATTGTTTTATAGGAATTTACACACTAATTTTAAAACTTCAGTAGAAATGCAAAGAGTCTAAAATAGCCAAAATAATTCTTAAAAATAAGAATATTTTTGAAGGATTAGCACAATCTAATGCCAAAGCTTATAAGGCTACAGTAATGAAAATAGTGTGATATTGGCATAAAGATAGACAGAAATGTCATTGGAAGATAATAGAAAATTCAGAAATATATGTACAGAATTTTGGTAAATTGGTGTTCTCCAAAGATACAAACGTAATTCAGTAAATAAAAGATAGCCCTTCAACAAATTCTGCTGGAACAGTTAGATACTCATATGCAAAAAGTAGAACTTTGACACGTAACTCATGATACAAAGATGAATTTAGTACAGATCATATGCCTAAATGTAAAATGTAAAAACAAAGTGAAAAAAAAAGGAAGAAAAATTACGTATAGGAGAAAATATAGAAAAGTCTTTGACCTCAGGCTAATAAATACTACTTAGACATGACACAAACACCATGTTTCATCAAAGTAGAAATTGACAACTCGAGTTCATCAAAATGTAAAACATATGTTCCTCAGAAAACACTGTAAAACAAATAGAAATATAAGACACTACTGAGAACAATATTTGCAAAATATATGTCTGGCAAAAAAGTTGTGTCCAGAAAATATAAGAACTCTCAAAACTTGATAATAAATCTAGCAACTCTAATAAAAGTAGGCAAACGACTTAAATGAATACTTCTTCTCTAAAGAACATACGTAGATAGAAAGTAAACACATGGAAAGATCCTCAATATCATTAGTCATTAGGGAATTAATCTGTGTCTGTCAAAAATGGTTTGGGTACAGTTGCTCAAGCCTGTAATCCCAGCACTTTGGAAGGTCAAGGCAGCAGGGTTTCTTGACCCCAGGAGTTAGAGAGCAGCCTAGGCAACATAGTGAGATCCTGTCTCTACCAAAAAGAAAGAGACATGGCTTGGTGTCTCTATTTAGCTAGGCATGGTGGCACATGCCTGTAGTACCAGCTACTCGGAAGCTGAGGTGGGAGAATCACTTGAGCCCAGGAGGTGGAGCCTGCAGTGAACTATGGTTGTGCCAACACACTCCAGCCTGCGTGACAGAGCAAGAACCCATCTCAAAAAAGAAAAAAAGAGGCCAGGTGTGGTGGCTCACACCTGTAATCGCAGCACTCTGGGAGGTCAAGAGATCGAGACCAGCCTGACCAACATGGTGAAACCCCATCTCCACTAAAAATACAAAACTTAGCGGGGCATAGTGATGCGCGCCTATATCCCAGCTACTTGGGAGGCTGAGGCAGGAGAACTGTTTGAATCCCGGAGGTGTAGATTGCAGTGAGCCGAGATCGCGCCATTGCACTCCAGCCTGGGCAACAAGAGTGAAACTTCGTCTCAAAAAAAAAAAAGAAAGAAAGAAAAAAGAATGGCTAAAGTTAAAAAGGCTGGCCATGCCAAGTGTTGGCAAAACTATAGAGGACAACCAACATACATGCACTGCTAATGGTAATGGAAATTAGTACAATGACTCTGGAAAAAGGCTTGTCAGTTTTTAAAATATTTTGACGTATGCACCTATCATATGACTGCCAATCAATTTGTAGGGAAATGAAAGTATATGTACATAAAAAACTTGTACCAAAACATTCACAGCACTTTTTTATGGGAGAGAGGGGCTAATAGTGAAGAGCATGTAACAATCAAATTTTCATTAACAGATAAATGAATAAGCAAGCTTTGATATATCCATATTTTGAAATACTATAAGCAATAAAAGAAATGAAACTTTCATCCATACTATAAAATAGATTAATCTCAATAAATATGCTAATTAATAGAAGACAGATCAAAAGAGAACAAATGGTATGATATCATTTATATAAAAAGAGGCATTAGAGCCTAGTAGTTAAGAGTGCAGCTTCTGGAAGCAAAATCCTTAGTATGATGTTTTGGCTCATTGTCTGCAGCATTTATTTTATGTGCGCTCTTGAGGTTTTTTTTTTTTTTTTTTTTGAGACGGAGTCTCGCTCTGTCGCCCAGGCTGGAGTGCAGTGGCGCGATCTCGGCTCACTGCAAGCTCCGCCTCCCGGGTTCACGCCATTCTCCTGCCTCAGCCTCCCGAGTAGCTGGGACTACAGGCGCCCGCTACCACGCCCGGCTAATTTTTTGTATTTTTAGTAGAGACGGGGTTTCACCGTGTTAGCCAGGATGGTCTCGATCTCCTGACCTCGTGATCCGCCCGCCTCGGCCTCCCAAAGTGCTGGGATTACAGGCGTGAGAGGTTTTTACAGAAACAATATTCCTCAGTTTACTCATCTATATAATGACTATATCAATAGTCATCTACTTTATAAAATATAGTATTTTATAATGTAATACTTTATAATATATGTTTGATATTATATATTTTAAAATGTCTTTATTATATTTTATAAAGTATAAATAATATAATATCTATAGTTGTTGACTTATAAAAATAAAGACTAAATGAACAAAAATACATGAAGCACTAGTTTACTACCTAGAAAATGGTACATTCTAAATATTTTCATGATTGTAATACATAAATGTATCCTTATAATATGTTATTTTATTAATAATAAACAAAAATTTATTTTTAGAATGAATATTATGATTATTTTTATTTTTAGAATAAATAATAATGAATAATAATATTATTATTCATTCTTATACACCTTTGAAAAGTCATAGGGTAAGATGATTGAAATTCTGTGTATAGCATCTCACCAGATGAGATCTATAAGAAAGAACCATTGCACCCCCATTTACTTAAATCAGTTATAGTTTAAGTTGTTTGAAAAAAGTCATCTATTGGAATCACCATATGACATCAATCAAGAGCAAAGTGTGTAGAATACTGTCAAGTTTTTCTCCAAGAATTTATTTCTGTTTTCAATTTGCAACTCACTGAAGCATTGAACATTTTATGAGCTCTACAACTAACAATGCCTGCGAATTTAAATATTTTCCATGGAATATGATTACTTCAAATGAAAAAAAAGGAGCAGATATGATAATGAATAATTTACCATGCGTATATGGTACAAAGTAGAATCTTTAAAAATAAAGACACAAACAGCAACAACCACAAAAACCTCAATTGTTTCTGCTTTTGTTCTATTTTTAGTGAACTTAAAATTTTAAGAGAAACTCTTTCTCCTTGTTTTTAACACCTGTAGAGAGAGGTGTGGAATATTGTAAAGCTTTTTATCTGACTCGGCCTGAGTCTCAGTAGATGAAGACACATCGAGTTTAGTAGGCCGAATAGTTTTTTCTAAAAGATATGTGACGCGTTAATCCTTGGAATCTTTGAATATAATGACACGTTAAACAGTGAATATTACCTTATATGGCAATGCTTGTGATTAAGTTAAGGACTTTAAGGGAAGGGGCTTATTCTGAAATATACTCACGGGTCTTTAATTCAATGACAAATGTTCTTCTTCTTTTTTTTTTTTTTTTTTTTTTGAGATGGAGCCTTGTTCTTTCACCCAGGCTGGAGGAGTGCAGTGGTGCGATCTCTGCTCACTGCAACCTCTACCTCCCGGGTTCAAGCAATTCTCCTGCCTCAGCCTCCTGAGGAGTGGGATTACAAGTGCCTGCCATCATGCCCAGATAATTTTTGTACTTTTATTAGAGGTAGGGTTTCACCATGTTAGCCAGGCTGGTCTCAAACTCCTGACCTCAAGTTATTCACCCTCCTCGGCCTCCCAAATTGCTGGGATTACAGGCATGAGCCACTGTGCCTGGCCTGACAAATGTTCTTTTAAGAGTGAGTCAGAGGGAGACTTGACACACAGAAGAGGAGGCAATGTGACCAGGGAGCAGAGATTGGAGTGGTGCAGCCCCCAGAAGCTGGGGTAAAGGAATGCTGGCATGAGTAAAGGAATGCTGGCAGCCCCCAGAAGCTGGAAGATCCACAGAATGGATTCTCTCTAGGGACCTCAGAGCGAGTGTGGCCCCACTGTATTTAGGACTTCTAGCCTCTAGAACTGTTTTAGAATACATTGCTGTTGTTGAAGTCATTTAGTTTGTGTCAATTTGTTGTGGTAGCCTAGGGAACTAATATAATGAAGCATGGAGAGAGAGAGAGAGAGGATAAAAGGTGAAAATCATGTGCCAAAACTAAAGAAAAGAGATGCTGACATTTGTGATTAAATAGAATAATTGCACTATTTAAGATTAATCACTTGAGCCTGGGAGGTGGAGGCTGTAGTGAGTCATCATGGTGCCACTGCATTCCAGCCTGCATGACAGAGAGAGAGTCTGTCTTAGGAAAAAAAAAAAAAAAAGATTAAAGTGGTCCAGAATGCACCCAAGGATAAAATGCAAAGATTATCTTGCCCCATGTATATTTTAGCATACTACTTAGGTACTATTTATTTTTTAATTATCTCCTTTTTACATTTTGACAATTTTACCCCAGTGGTCAAGCCTTGTATTAGAAAAGACAGAAAGAAGGAAAAGAAAGAAGGCAGGAAGGAAGGCAAGGGGAAAGAAGGGGAAGGAAAGGAAGTGGAAGGGAAGGGGAAGAGAAGGGGAAGAGAAGGGGAGGGGAAGGGGACGGGAGGGGAAACATGTTGCTTTGGACAGAATAAATGGGTAAGGGTTTCTATTTTAATTAGATTAAGATTAATTGGATTAAAACTCTGAGGAAGTCTTACTTGAGCTGAGAAATTAAATATGAGAGGGAGGAGTACCACTGCATTGGTTATAGATGGGGTAGAAGTCTACAAAAGAGTTCATTGAGGAATAGAGTAGTAAATAAGTGACTGAATAATGAGTTTGTGGCCGGGCGCAGTGGCTCAAGCCTGTAATCCCAGCACTTTGGGAGGCCGAGGCGGGCGGATCACGAGGTCAGGAGATCAAGACCATCGTGGCTAACACGGTGAAACCCCGTCTCTACTAAACAAAATAC
Organism: Homo sapiens; assembly: GCF_000001405.40. Classification (NCBI taxonomy): domain Eukaryota; kingdom Metazoa; phylum Chordata; class Mammalia; order Primates; family Hominidae; genus Homo; species Homo sapiens. The sequence goes on from NC_000004.12 coordinate 131,968,469, forward strand.
AAAAAATTAGCCGGGCATGGTGGCGGGAGCCTGCAGTCCCAGCTAGTCGGGAGGCTGAGGCAGGAGAATGGAGTGAACCCGGGAGGCGGAGGTTGAGTGAGCCAAGATCGCGCCACTACACTCCAGCCTGGGCGATAGAGCGAGACTCTGTCTCCAAAAAAAAAAAACAAATAAATAATAATAATAATAATAGTTTGTATTGTTCTTATTTTGCAAAAGTATGCAATATCTGGGTAGAGAAAGGGCAAGAGGGAGGACTTCCCATATTGAATCAATAATATTAACAGTATCAATCTGCCACTAATAATTATTTAAGAAAAGTATTTTTCTGCTTTCAGTTTTATTTATTAAATAGTTTCTACTAGCCTAATGTTAAAGTCTGCCAACTAGTTCCTTCAAGTTAATCACATTCACTTTTGATTCCCTCTTAACACATTAAGATATTTTATCACTCTGGGAGTTTAAAATCTGATGCAAATTCATTGTGGTCAGGCAAGATGCAAGACCAGTCAGGCAAATACACTTCCCTTATTTTTTATGGGTCTGAAATATCTTTTGTCTTGGGAGATGTATTATTATACAAAAGATCTATTTGGCAATTTATAGTTTGCTTTTTATCTATTCAATTGTTCCCTGGTATTCTTAGAACAGAAAAGCGAACCTTTTAAGAATAATAACATGCCAATTACCTTTAATTACTCTCTAGCTCTTTCAGTTAAACAAAAAAAATCTCTCATTTTAGGTTTAGTTTGTGACTGAATAGAACATTTTATATCTAAACCCTTAATGGAAAGGCTTTCCTATTTCCCACAATTTTCTTTTCCATTTAATGTATTCTCTAAATTTAACACATTATTTAAAATGCCATCCATATACCTGATCAACTTGAAAAGATGGAGAAACACAAAAGTAAAGCTTATTATCTGTTCACATTTTATTCTATGTTTCCATTTTCATAATCAAATAAATGTAGACTGTAAAATACTTATTTACAAATCTGTCTGATTTGTATAATAAACTCTGAGGAAACTGGAATGAAGTAGTGCTACAAGCAAGGGACAGAATAAAGTTTTGTGTATTAATTACCTGGTTTATACTTTAGTCCCTTTAAGTAAAAGAAGGTAACAAATAGAAGGATAGTTATTAATATATTTGGAGGAGAAAGAAGGATAAAATGAAAGATACAATGTTCTTAAAAACCGAGAGTTTTATCTTTTTTCAGAAGTTTAAAAAATATTTAAACATTTTCCTTTATGTTAGCTCATATTTATGTTATACATTTCATTTACAAGTAATTGTATGGTAAATAGTTATGAAAACAGCAAGGAAAAGCTTTGAGTTAAGGAGCTCATGATTTTCAGTGTAAAATACATGTTATTTGAGTAATTTGGGAAACTGACAGAAGCTTTCTTGCAGTCAAGAATGCTGCTCAAAAATTAATTTTAAAATAAAAATAAAAGAAAAAAATCCTAAAAGCTTATGTAGCAAAACAAGTATTGTAGTCCATTACAAAAATTAGCCTTTTCTGAAATCATTTTAAAAAGCAAAAAGATCTTAGAGCAGAATTTCATGTACAGTTCATTTTGGGATTGATCTTACTTCCTTGATAGGTGGTCTTACTTCATCCTGTTGGAGCCCATCATGGAGAGCTGTTCTACAAATATTCTTAGCTCTACTACTCACATAAAAATTCAACTTATGACTCCTGTTTCTGATAAAGTAGCTATTTAAATTCATTAAGAATGTTTCATCATTTTAGTATGCAAAATGCATTGTTAGATTATGTAAGTGACACATGCTATCTTAAAAGTTAATAAATCTCCCAGAAGAAATTAGACTCAGATGCTATATTTATTATGGAGAATTAAGAAATACCTAAGGTTACTGTGATCATCACTTAGGAGTTTTGAATCAATTATATGAGAAACTAAAGGAGAAACTTTGATTGGAAAAAAAATGAACCAACAAGAAAAAAATTATATAAAGTCATTTTATTGGACACACATGCTAAAAATTAGAAAACCATACATTTTACTCTATCAATCTGTTAGGAAAAACTATAGAATATGATAGTGATTGCATTGATTCTGCTTAGCAAATTAAATGCACAACTAAGATATTCACAAAATATAAAATATAGTTATTTTCTAAGAAATAAAATAAAACTCACACATACTGGTGGCAACTGCCATTTTTAGCAGAAACCAAAACTATTTCCTGTTAACAAGAAGGAAAAACCATCATTGAACACTCAAGTAATAATGAGGGGACTAGGATGGACTCTCAGTAAGAAACCACTGGAATACACCTAGACTAAATCTATTCTAACAGAATTAAGTATACCAACCGAATAGTTTTGTGTGTGCATTTGTTTTTACTATATACTTTATAATCCCAAAAGTACCTAAAAGGAGGCAAAACAAGAAAGGATTTGTCTACAGAAAGTAAAAATAAGAATGATTATAAAATATTGTTAAAGAAAAGACACTGCACAGAATAGTCATGGAGATTTCTGTACTAATCACCTTGATCATAATGAATAATCACTGAATTTCACTGGCCTATTTTCCTCCACAAGATTCTATGTTAGGTAAGCAACTTTGGGTAATTCAATAATAGGAAAGACGTTTCTTTTATAACATATCTGATTTGTACAACTATTTGAAATACATTTTATGCTATAAAATAAAAATGGTAACTCTTATTTACACAGCTATTTATTGTGAATTCGTATAAAGACAGCTCATCCTTAGAACATAATAGACTAGGATTCTTGGTAAAGTATACATTGTATATCTGAAAAATGTAATAGTGACAATATTAAAGTATTGCCACCTAGTGCTGTGTTACCTAAAGAAATTGTCACTTTCTGTCACTCTTATCACTGACATTTAAATTTCAGATATAGGTGAATTAAATATTGAAGTGAATAGAGCTACCGACATTTGCTTTCCTAATATTCATGGAAGTTGTTGTTGACCTCTCATAGATAAATAAGCAAATAATATCTTCAAAAATATATCTAACTTGACTCAAATACTTCTAAGTATTTTGTCATTTGAAGGGATATGAGCAAGTTGAGAAGAAGAAATGTGGAGAGAGAAATACTCATGAAAACTAAATTTATAACATTCAACTATTGCTCAATTCTTAGAAATTTAATCACTACTTATATTTTAAAGCAAAATATTTTTGAACTTATTTAGAAAAATATGACTTCATCTCTCATATGTCCATTCAAAGTTTTAAACAAAGTATAAAAGGAAATTAAACAGTGGAGGAAATGAGAAAGGTCATAGGCATTCAAGGGGTTTCAACAAATTTCTGGAGGAATGAAAGGTAATTGAAGGATGTGTTAAAATAATTTCTATTATTACCTTTATAGATTTAGTGTCCAGTAAACCTTTTATAAACAATCCAACTTGCTGTTTTGTGTTCTTGAACTTTATTTAAACTGAATTATATTGTACATATCCTTTTGTGACTTAATCATACCACTGTATATTATGTTTGTGAGAGTAAGCCACATTAACATACCTAAATAAAGTTATCTATTTTTTTCTAAAGTGTAGTATTCCACTGTATTAATCTACCACATTCTACTGTTGTTTAACTTTTGCATTGTTTATAGTACTTAACTGAGCCTGTAAATATTTTGGATCACATTTCTTAATGGCCAATCACGTACATACAAAATAAGGAGTGAAAGTCAATTGTTGATTAGAATATATGGTCATCTTCAATATTACTGAGTAATACAAGCCTCTTTTTAAAATGGATATAATTTCCATTTCCAGGAAAGCATATGAAATTATTATTGCTCTATATCTTTGCCAGAAGTCTTTCTTGTCAGACTTTTTTTGGTCAATCTGTTGTATAAGTAATAATGTACATATAAAACATTTTCATTTGCATTTTTGTGTTAAAAATAAGTTAAAGTGATTCTAAAATGTATGGTGGACACTTATATTATACATTTAATAAAGCACATGTACAAGCCATTTTGTTTGTTTAACTGTCGGGTTTTCTGTAATTTTTGCCTGGCTTTACATTTAAATATTGATCGCCAAGGAATTGACTGTTAGGTGTTATATAAGGTAAAGAATCACTTTAATTATTTTTCATATGTATAACCAGTTTTCTCACTCTCATTTATTGGCAAATTTATTTTTCACCACTGATCTATAATACTAGCTTTCTTACATATCACAGGTTCTTATAAATATTTTCCTTACTGTAGTCTACCTATTTCATTTCATTGATTATTTATTACTTTGTTAATACCACATTGCATTAATTAAGTCTTATAATATTTCCTGTAATATATTCTTTCTTCCTCAATAAATTATTAACTGAATTTTAATATTTTTAGAGTTTACATAAATTCTGGAATTAGCTTGTCAATATCTAAATCAAACCTTACTGGGTTTTACTTTGGATGCACTAGTTACAAAGATTAATTTTGGGGACAAGTGATTTCATTAAGGTCTTTCGATTCAAGAATATATTTATGTCAATGTTATGTCTATGTTTATTTGAACTTTATTTAAACTGAGTTATACTGTACATATTCTTTTGTGACTTAATCATACCACTAAATATTATGTTTGTGAGAGTAAGCCACATTGACACATCTAAATAAGGTTCTCTACTTATTGGAAATGCATTTCAATATTGCATAATACGTTTGTGTCAAAGCATCTTGCTAAAAGCTCATATTCATTAGTATAATGTATCTTACAATCATTTTGAATTTTCTGTGTACTTAGTGTCATTGGTAACATAGTAATCTGTTTTCTCTTTCATAATTCTTATTTTTTTAATATTTACAATCCTATCCCAGTGTCTAAGACCTGCAAAAGGATAAATAAAATTGCTTGTACCATCTATGTTTATTTTGTTCCCAATCACAAAGGAAATATTTTAACATTCCATTGTTAAGTGTTATAATTTCAATAGAACTTTTGAAAACAAATGTTATCAGTTAAACTAGATTCTCTTTTAATTTGGGATTGTTAAAATGTATGACTTTTTAAGAAAATAAAATTAAATATGCTTATAATATTGTTAAGTTATTTGTTGTGGTGTATCATATTAATTGATACCTTTATATGAGGCCATTATTGCTTCCCAGGGTTTCTTAGAATAAACATTGGCTGTGATGTCTTACATTTTAATGCATTGCTTATTTCTGCATGGTAGTTTTTTAAGTTTTCCTTCATTATTTTCATAAATTACATTGGTGTTTAATTTCCTTTCCCTTTACTATCCTGGTCAGGTTATAATATCAGAGTCATAATAGCATAATAAAATGAAATAGAGTATATTCTTTCCTGTTTCATGCTCAGAAAGAATTCTATGTAAGATTGGAATTATTGTTTTGTTTCATGTTTGATACAACTTGCCAGTAAAGTCATCATGGCTTGAAATTATCTTTATGAGATGATTTCTGACTACTGATTAAATGCATTTGTTGTAGCACAACTCAGATTTTTCTTTTCACTTTAGGTTACTTTTGGAAAAATGCATGTTTCAAGTAATTGTACACATTTTACATATATTTCCAAATTTATTGAATTAAACGTTTTCATACTACACTAATTTACCTTCTTGATATTTGTATTTTTTATAACAAAACTCAATAAATTGTGGCCAATAAGCCAGACAGTACTTATAAATAAAGTATTAATACAACACTGTCATGCTCATTCATTGACATATTGTCAATTTATGCCACAACAATAGAATTAATTAGTTACAACAAACCATATAGCCCAAAAACCTAAAATATTTAACAACTGATCCTTTCCAAACAACAAAAAAAATTCTTCACACAAGATGTATAATTATTTCCTATTTTGATTCCTGAAAATGCATACTTGTTTCTTCTCTTATTTTTATCAAGCCATTTCTCCACAGTTTTGTTATTGTATGGCTCCTAAAACAACTAACAAACTTTTGGTCATATTTCTTGACTTTCCTTTCCCTGTATTCTTAATGACTATGCATGTATTTTTTATTTCCTTTTATTTCTGATGACATTTCTAAGTTCTTCAAATAAATTCAAAACATTTCAAATATTAATTTGCTGCCCTCATAAAATAAGAATTTAAGGTTCTAAATTTCCCTCTAAAATGAAACATTTTATACTGTAGTAAATATTTTTTAATTAAAAATATTTTATAATTTCCATTATGATTTGCTCTTGGGTGGTGAGTTACTAAGAAGTATATTTCTGAGGTTTTTCTTCAATATGAAGGACTATAGATATTGGACTCTAGTTATTCGAAGAAAGAGAAAGCAAAGTTATGGATAAATAATAGTTAATTCCAATATGTATATTGAGGGGAGAGTGCTAGAGCCTCTCAGAGAACCACAAGAAGGAACTTGAACACAGAAAAATAAGGAAGTAAGAATCTAGCAGAGATTATACTCTGAGGGACTTGGTGTAACATGGAAAAGAATACGTGGGGGTGTCTTTTGCTCCTCTCACCCCTACGGCAGACTGCCTGTTTCTGAACTGTTGGAGGGCCCTCCACTCTCACAAGCCCAAGTACTGGTGTGGACAGCAATCTTGGAACTACTTAAGGACAGAGAACCAGGCTACTATTTCCTGCAGTGCCACTTGCCCTTCACCAAGCCCGAAGATGAGGTGGTGGGCACAATAATGGATATGCCTCTGTGCTGGACTTCTATACTACCTTTGACGGACAGAGATACTTGCCCCATCCCCTTGCCGGCTTCATTCTCCGTCCCTGGGTCGAGCTGTGGCAAGATTTCTCGATGAGGGCAGAGGGCGAGAGGCGTGAGAACCATCTACTTAAAGGTCTGCGGGCACCCTCCTGCGGCTGGACAATGAGCGCCTGGGAGGCCGTTGTCCTTGCTTGGGGAGCGGTCGTCTGGATCTAGCCTAGCAAAGAGGCTGCTCCGGATGGGGAGGGGATGAAAACCCCTGCGGCTGCGACGCAGACGCCCACTTTGCCCAGGCCTTCACAGAGCCCCAAACCGGAACCGCCGGGAAAACGACTGCCAACCGGCCACACGACCCAGGCAGAGACGCGGGGAGAGGCTGACCAGAAGAAAGGCCGACGTGCAAGAAACCCACCCTCCGGCGCACAGGGCACACGTGTCCCAAGGCACACGAACACACAGACGGACAGAGAGAGAAAGAGAGGGCGAAGGAAAGAGCGAGAAGGGAGAGAGAGAGAGAGACGTAAGAGAGAGACAGAAGTGGGCACACAGACACGCACGCGCGGACGCGCACACACACACACACACACACACACCCATAACGCACACAGACATACAGCAGGTAACACCCACCCCCAGGCAGCTCCTGAAGTTGCCGGGTTCTGATCTCCGCGACTACGAGCCACCGGAGAGAGAGCAGCCCACGGGCACACAGGCAGACCTGTCCTCGACATCACAAGGGCGCCACTTTTGGGGAGACTCACCCGCACACCGTCCGCGCAAGCCTGAGGCTGGGATCCCGCGCTGCGTCCCCGGCGATCTGTCTCAGGTTTCTTCCTCCTGGCGTTTCTTCCTGCTGGTGGAGCCTCCGCGCATCCCGGCCTCCGGAGACCGTCCTGGTAACTGCCCTGGCCAGGACTGGTCTCAGCCCCGACTCTGACGCACGATCACACAGGGCTCCTACTTCGCCAAGTCTCAGGGACCCATCCCCGGGCAACGGTGGCGGTCACTGTGACCAAAGCCGGGGGCTGGGGCCTCGCGCATGCGCACTGGCGAGGCCGACTCACCCGCCGCACCCCCCTTACTCGGCAGAGTCAGGCTGCGGACCCTTTAAAAAATGGCGGCGACATGGCGGCTGCGGGGACTGGGGCGGCGGTGACGGAGGTTGCGGCGGTGGCGGCTGCGGCGCAGCCCCAGGCGGCGGGTGGGAAGAGGACTACCAGAGGGGCCTGCGGGAGACCCAGGGTCGGACCCGTAGGAGTCCTGTCGTCAGGACCTCCTTGATCGTTCTTCTGCTTCGGTTCCCGGGGAAGGAGGAGCTTCGGGGTGCTGGCTGGGCTGCGCGGACTCCTCTTGGGATCCGATGATGGATCCCACCGGGCGATCGGCAATGGGGTCATAATGCAGTGAGGCGGAAAGGGTCTCGCTGGGGCACAGAAAGATCCCCAGGGCCGCAAGGCGTGTGGTCGGCTGCAAAGGCACTGACCCATGAGCCCACTGCCTCCCACCTTCCTGGGTGGAGCAGGGGCCTGCCTTCATCTCCAAGGCCCGGGGGCTCCGGCATCCCGACGCGGCTTCTGGCGACACCGGCAAAGACAGACAGAGGCGAGTCCGAGCTGGAGCCCGTGTGACCACACGTGGCACTGACGTCCCCCAAGAGCACAGGCAGTGAGCGTGTGTCTTTGAGGCCATAGGGGGCAACGACGAGACGGACAGGGATTTCCAGGCGTGCGCCCGGGGGCCACTGGAGACCTGCCCCACAAAGCGGAGGAAAAGCCAAGCGCTCCTGAAAACCTGCGAGGCAGGGCCTGTGCGCGAGTCCAGGCCACATTCAGGGAGGCCCGCCAGAGGAGCCCAGAGCTTTGGACCAAGTACACCCCACCCCCACGCCGCTACCGCTTAGGTACCCCTGACGCAACCTCCCCTGCACCCAGCCAAAACCCAGTCCCGTTGGCTCCCTGACATCCGTAGCAGCCAAAAGATTCACTGCTAGAAGGCACTTTCCCCAGGAGCGGAGGAACCGGTTGGCTCTCAAGGATCAGACAGGAAGTGCAGGTGGGATGCAACACCGCCTTTCCTAGAAGGCCAATGTCGGGAACGGTGGGCTTGCCTCCCCCTCTTCCTGGACCAAGCGCGCAGCCATCACTTGGGCCATGGAGACCAAGAGAGCTTCCCTGTCCCACACAGGTATGGAAGCCCAGAGCTCCAGGATCACCACACCTGCCCAATCATCCAGAAAGAGGTGTGGAGAGGGAAACGATCATGACACGGACCCCCACGAGGTTTCTCCCTGATGGACTGGGAAGTCTTCTTTGTTGGAGACATTGAGCCAGACTAAGAAGCCGCCAGGCTTCTCAGAGACGGGGCAGACACAGCAAGAGGGAGGACAGAGCAGAGGCCAGAGCCCAGGCAGGATACGGGGCCATGCCACCACCACGGGCATCCGGGGAGGAGTGTCAAACGGGTGACTCAGCCACGAACGCCAGCATTTGAGTGACAGAGATGCTTGCCCCATCCCCTTGCCGGCTTCCTTCTCCGTCCCTGCGTCGAGCTGTGGCAAGATTTCTCGATGAGGGCAGAGGGCGAGAGGCGTGAGAACCATCTACTTAAAGGTCTGCGGGCACCCTCCTGCGGCTGGACAATGAGCGCCTGGGAGGCCGTTGTCCTGGGTTGGGGAGCAGTCGTCTGGATCTAGCCTAGCAAAGAGGCTGTTTCGGATGGGGAGGGGATGAAAACCCCTGCGGCTCCGACGCAGATGCCCACATTGCCCAGGCCTTCACAGACCCCCAAACCAGAATCGCCGGGAAAACGACTGCCAACCGGCCACACGACCCAGGCAGAGACGCGGGGAGAGGCTGACCAGAAGAAAGGCCGACGTGCAAGAAGCCCACCCTCTGGCGCACAGGGCACATGTGTCCCAAGGCACACGCACACACAGACGGACAGAGAGAGAAAGAGAGGTCGACGGAAAGAGCGAGAAGGGAGAGAGAGAGAGACGTAAGAGAGAGACAGAAGTGGGCACACAGACATGCACACGTGCACACACACACAGACACACGCACACACACCCCCATAACGCACACAGACATACAGTAGGTAACACCCACCCCCAGGCAGGCCCTGAAGTTGCCGGGTTCTGCTCTCCGCGACTACGAGCCACCGGTGAGAGAGCAGCCCACGGGCACACAGGCAGACCTGTCCTTGACATCACAAGGGCACCATTTTTGGAGAGACTCACCTGCACACCCTCAGCGCACACCTGAGGCTGGGATCCCGTGCTGCCTCCCCGGCGATCTGTCTGAGGTGTTTTCCTCCAGGGGTTTCTTCCTGCTGGTGGACCCTCCACAAATCCTGGCCTCCGGAGACCGTTCTGGTAACTGCCCTGGCCAGGACTGGTCTCAGCCCCAACTCTTAAATATAAGACCTGAAATGACAAAAAATCTAGAAAAAAATCTAGGAACAGCTCTTCAGGAGATTGACGTAGGCAGAAAATTGCTGACTAAAACTGCAAAAGCAAATGCAGCAAAAACAAAAATAGACAAATGGGACTTAATTAGACTAAAAAGCTTCTGTACAACCAAATAAATAATCAACAGCATAAATAGATAAATTACATCTATGGTAGAAAGTATTTTCAAACTCTACATCTGATAAAGGACCAATATGCAGAATCTAAAAGAACTCAAACAACTAAAGAAGAAAAACTGTAAGTTTACTCAAAAGTGGGCAATGGACATGAACAGACACTTTTCATAAGAAGACATTCAGGTGACAATAAGAAAAAAAATGATTAACATCACTAATCAAGAGGAAAATGCAAATTAAAGCCACAATAAGATGCGATCTCATACCAGTCAAAATGGGTATTAGAAAGTCAAAAAAACTACAGATGTTGCTGAGTATGTGGAGCAAAGGAAATACTTTTTCACTGTGAGTGGGAATGTAAATTAGTATAAACTGTAAAGAAAACAATATGGAGATTTCTCAAAGGGCTAAAAATAGAAATACCATTTCATCCAACAATCCCATTAGTGTGTATCTACCCACAGGAAAGCAAATCATTACATAAAAAAGACACCTGCACCTGTATGTTTATCACAGTACTATTCATGGTAGCAAAGTCATGGAATCAACCTAAGTGTCCATTAATGGATGACTGAATAAAGAAAATATGTTACATATATATGTGTGTGTGTGTGTGTGTGTATATATATATAATATAAAAATATATATTTATTTTTATATATTTATATATAATATAAAATATATACTTATATTTTTTTCTGTGGAATACTATTCACCTGTAAAAAAGAATGAAATCATGTTTCTTGCAGCAACATTGATAGAACCGGTGGCCATTATCCTAAATAAAATAAGTTAGAAGATGAAAAACAAATACTGCATGTCCTCATGAGTGGGAGCTAAACAATGTGGATACATGGGCATACAGAGTAGAACAATAAAAACTGGGCCAGGTGCAGCAACTCATGCCTATGATCTCAGCACTTTGGGAGGCCAAGGTGGGTGGATCACTTGAGGTCAGAAGTTGAAGACCAGCCTGGCCAACATGGTGAAACCCCGTCTCTACTAAAAATACAAAAGTTATCTGGGTGTGGTGGCACATGCCTGTAGTCCCAGCAACTTGGGAGGCTGAGGCACGATAATCACTTGAACCTGGGAGGTGGAGATTGCAGTGAGATGAGATCTTGCCACTGCACTTCAGCTGGGCCACAGAGTGAGACACTGTCTCAAAACATAAAACAAAACAAAACAACAACAACAAATCCTGAAGACTCCAAAACATGGGAGGGTGTAAGAGGAGTGAGGGACGAAAACTCACTTACTGGGTCCAATGTACACTGTTCAGGTAATAGGTACACCAAAAGCCCAGACTTCACTACTAAGCAATATATCTATGTAAGAAAGCTGCACTTTTACCCCCTAAAAGTATAAAAATGAAAAAAGTGTATTTTGTAATTTCTAAATATCTGCGCTTTTCCGATGCTGTCTACTATGGATTTATAGCTTCATTATAATGAATATGATTAGAAATCTCACTGTGTATATTCATGTTTTGAAATTTATTGAGAAATGCAGGTTATTTACTGTGAATTTTGTTTGTAAATATTATGTAATTAGATTTTACCTTTTAATTCAGAATAATAATCCTCACTCTTTAATCTTTAATTGCTTTTTATTTTAATTACAGATATAGGTACATTAAATTTATCTTGCATTTTTTCCATATTTTTATCTGATCTAGCTCGTCTATGTCTTGCCTTTCTTGTATTCATTTACATAAGTTTTTAATCAGCAATATTTTTCCTATTCTGATTCAAAAAATAAATGTTTATTTTTTAGTATTTACCCTTGAAACTACAACAAACTTTAAAATTATAATTATCTGAAGTTAATTTTTATTTGTACTATTCTTCAGAATAATCCAGGTGTTTTACAATTCCACATATGTGATTGTTGATTTATATCTTAATTGTATTTTGTATTTTATTTTGTACCTACAAGATATCATTATTTAATTTTTTATAATTGATCATCATATATATTAGTACATCTTCTTACCATTTTTATACTTGTCAGTTTTTCAATTTCTTTATAAGGTTTATATACATTAAAATTTGCTAATACTTCAATGCAAACTTTCAAATTAATACAGTTTTCATTCACTTTTTGAGTATTATAAAACTGAGAACATTGACTTCACTCGGCAAATTTTACTTATTTTTCAGTTGCACATTTCATCTATCCGTCTCTTTCTCTCTCTTCTGGAACACCAAGCATGCAGGAGTATTAATTTGAATGTCTATTCTTCATAAACGTAAGTGTTTTTTTCCCTATTTTTCATCTCTGTCACTTATTAGCTGTCTATGCATATATGTATTTAGATATTTTTGTTTCTATCTAGACATTATCACTTTGTTTTACCAGTTTACAAATTCATGGGTATTTTTTTTTCAACAAAGAATTCATATGAATCGATTTTATTTTTTACAAAAGCAAACTTTTTAAATAAATAATTTTTAACTTAAGTAGCTAAAATATCCTATTGTTTCTCTTTCCTTATGTTAATTATATTTATTCTATAATTTTATTTTTCATCTATTTTTATAACTTTGTTCTTTCCAGTGTTAGTTATTTGCTTCATCACACTAGGCTGTTCTATTTTGTCTTGTTGGTTTTATGTTGCTGGTTTTTTCAAGGATTTGTTTCCTATTCTGTCACTCCAATTATTGATCATTGAAGGGACTATCCATTCTGAAAAACTTTGCAGAAAAACAAAAATGAAAGACGAATAGTTTAGGGCAAATGTCAGTGCATTTGGAAGCAATCTGTCATAGTTTTAGCATAAATTGTGGCCATTATTTTCATATCTTTGTGAGCCTCTCCCTAACATTGATTTCCCCACCAAATCAGGAAAGATAAGCTGAATAAACTTCATTTCAGAATTTTTGTACAAACTTTTATTCTTTAGCAAATTCGATCATTTATAATATGAGTTTAAAACTAGTAACATTTTTTTCTCTCTCTTTTCTTTCTCTTATGTCCTATTGGTCAGTCTATATCTATTTAACTATCTATGCATCTACATATAAATATGTATAGTTTCTAATGTTGAAATCATAAAGATTATTGTTACTTTTGAAAGTATTTTCTAAGATTTGAGAATAAGGCAATGTTCACTTACCTTGCAAAGGTATATTTTGTATGTATTATCATTTATCGCTCATTTTACTATAACGATTATTTTTACTATTTATTCATTTTATGCTCTACCTTTTAATTCATTTATTTATTTTAATTTAAGAAATTCAATAGTTTTAGGAATAACAGTGGTTTGGGGTTACATGGAATAACTGTACATTGATGGAGTCTGGAATTTTAGTGTACCCATCACCCAAATGGTATACATAGAACCAAGAAGGTAATTTTTCATCCCTCAACCTCTTCCCACCCTCCCCACATCTGAGTCTCCAATGTTCATTTTATCACTCTGTATGCCTTTGCATACTCATAGATTATCTTCCATTTATAATTGAGAACACATGCAGACCATAGTAATTTGTTTTCATATATATCTAGAAGACAGGGCTTAAAGCACCTGTATTTTTAACACCTGGAACAGCCTAATACAAAATACTTTTTGAACTAATCATCCTGTATGCACAGACATTGCTCTTTCTTGCATCCACTGCTATTTCTGTAACCCTCTTGCTATCAGACATTAAATAAGTTAACTAAGCTCTGAACCTTAATTTTTTCATCAATAAGATGGTGATGACAATACATACCCAATTCACTTATTTGAATGTTAAGCAGATAACATTTGCAAAAGAGCATAATAAATGACATAATATAAACATTGGTAAGACATCTTTGTTGTAACAGAAAGAGTGCTGGTAGCAACCTAAGAAGTATTTTTAATTATTTGACAAACATATGCATGTGTACACATATATAGATAACATGTGTAAGTCCAGTATGTGTATATGTATACTAAAACATGTAACTATATAATGGGTGTATGATTAGTACTAGAGTCGGCACTATTTATATTATCTTAAAAATTAATTTACACTCTACTTCAAAAATGAGTTAAAATATAGAGAAAATTATAGATAAACTGAATCAGAAATTATATTAGTTTAATTAAGAGTAGCTTTTTCAAAAAATACTCAGTGTATGCTACTAGAATATATAGATATATTCTGCCTGGAGTTTACTAAAGATGGGTCAAAACAGATTGAATTGACTGACATTTTGAGTCCTATAACTTGTGTGAAAATTTTCCTCAGAATTATATTTTATATTGTATGTCTATGTAAACTTTATTTTCAGATTTTTACTTTTAATATATAATTTATTTAATATTTCTTTAATTTATAAAGCTACCTGAGACTACAGTTAAAAATATCAGTGAGAAAATTAATTTTTTAAATTTCCAATATATTTACCAATATGACATTATATTAGAAGCTCATCACTATCTTTTTCTTTTTAAGCAGTAGTATTTAACAAAATAAAATGTTAGGCTGTGTATTTTAGAAAATAAAATCAATTAAAGTAAACCATTAATTAAATTCAGTAGATGTGAAATTAGAAATAATAATATGAAGTATTCAGGTATTGCATGCCCATAGCAGTAATTTGATCTCTTATGAAATTAAATTTATTTAACCAAAAGACCATAGTTAACCATACCACATGATGAAATCAAGAATGAAATTCTAGGCTATTAATAATGAAATGCATGCAATTAAATTTTATTGATTACTGTTATGAAGTTTCAAATTAAACTATTAACCTTTCTTTTATTCATGCCTAATGCATTACTTCAATTATATAAAACAAAACACATTATTGATATTATATTTTGAAATGTATTGCCTGTATGTAGGAAAAGGATTGAACAATTACATTTTAAAACCACTATATAATAATTATTTGTATAATATCTCTAGGAACACGTAGCAGTGTATCACAAACTGTGGTGGAATTATGATCTCAAAACAAGGATATTCATTAGAGGGAAATTAAATAGTTGAATGTCGAAAGAAGCAAGAGAAACTCTGTTGAAATGTGCAATATCTACAATGTAGAAAAATTTAAGAAACACTTAATCTCCCTTATATGTATGGAAGATGCTGCTACTCAACTGTGGTTTGATGTAATGAAAGGACTTGACCTCACAAGCATCACCTGGTAGAAGTAGTAAGACTAGACACAGTAAGAGAGTAATACTATCTTAGTCAAGAACTGTAAAAACTCTGAAATTTTATCCTAATTATAAGCTACCTGCTAGCCTGCCACCATTTTATAAATGCCGAAAGAAGACACAAGATTTCCGAATCAGAGACAAAGGACTTTATAACTCACAAATCAGCAGACAGTACATGTTTTAGGGTTTCACTGGCTCCCCTTCACTCTGAAGATTATCCAGGATTATGCAGAGTGGCCCAGGTAGATGCTGGACACACAGTAGGTTTGTGTCTCTGCTGAAGAATCTCTTATAAAGAGGTTGCTAGTGCTCTTTTTGCCTTATACAAAGCCATTATCTTCATTATCCTGATCAGAAAACACAGCTTCCTCTTGCCCTGATATAAGACACTCTTGCTGTCTTCCAAGATTGTTTGCTATACAAACATTCTTAAAAAGATTGTCCGGACCTAAGGCTGTTTATTCCTTAGTGGACATGAAGAAATGCAAAATACCCACGGAGAATTATCTCCCAAGAGCATCCAAGAGCAGGCTGCTCATCAATATATCAAAAGGATGTTTAAATTTCTTCAAGATTTACTAACAGTTTGAAAAAAATAATAAAACAAGTATACTTATCTTTTGTTTTTATTTTTCAAAAATTATGTTTTATTTTTCAAAAATTATGTTTTATTTTTCTTTCATGTGCTAAAATATTTCCTAAAAGAGCAACCTATACTAAAAACAACAAATAGCCATAATTCTATTTGTATTTAGTATTTACATTGTGCCTGTAGTTTTTTTATCTTTTGCAGATCACAGAATATTTTTAAAATTAATACATTTTAATTTTAGAGCAGTTTCATGTTCACAGCAAAATTGAGCAATAAGTACAGAGAGTTCCCATACACCCTCAGACCTAACACACACACAAAACCTTCCCCATTATCAATGTCCCCAACAAGAGGGGTACATTTGTTACAATCTGTGACCCAACATTGACACTTTATTGTCAACCAAAATCCATAGATTACTACAGGGTCCACTTTTGTATATTCTATGGATTTTGACAATGTATCATGACATGTATCTACCAAGATATCATAATACAGAATAGTTTCACTGTCAAGCACTCATCTTTTTACTATCTCCATGGTTTTGTCTTTCAGATTGTCATATAGTTGTAATAACATAGGGTGTAGCCTTTTCAGTTTGGTTTCTTTCAATTAGTAATAGGCATTTACAGTTCCTCTATATATTTTCATGGCTTGTTAGCTCATTTATTTTTAGGGCTGAATAATATTCAGTCCTATGAATGTACCAAAGTCGTCGTATGTATTCATTATCGAAAGACAAAACATTTATATACATGTTTGTGTATTTTAGAGAGTCATAGACACAAAATGTATTTCACGCTATCGTTTTTGTAACCACTAACTTCTATCAGTTATTTGAAATAATTTATTCATTAACAGAAGGGAAAAATGAAGAGAATAAAATAATCAAGTCAAAAATAAAGGCTGGAGGCCGGGCGCGGTGGCTCACGCCTGTAATCCCAGCACTTTGGGAGGCCGAGGCGGGTGGATCATGAGGTCAGGAAATCGAGACCATCCTGGCTAACAAGGTGAAACCCCATCTCTATTAAAAATACAAAAAATTAGCCGGGCGCGGTGGCGGGCGCCTGTAGTCCCAGCTACTCGGGAGGCTGAGGCAGGAGAATGGCGTGAACCCGGGAAGCGGAGCTTGCAGTGAGCCGAGATTGCGCCACTGCAGTCCGCAGTCCGGCCTGGGCGACAGAGCGAGACTCCGTCTCAAAAAATAAATAAATAAAAAAAAAAAATAAAGGCTGGAATGAACCCCTTTTGAAAGCAGGGTTTTTACTCGGTTTTTCATTGTTACATCCCACATGCTACAACAGCATCTGAGACATTTTAGGTTCATGCATGCATGCATTTTAGTGAATTGAGTTTATTTTCTTAGAATAAAAGAAAGGTATAAGATTAAAATATACAAGTTTCAATGGGACTATGGGAAGCAATGAAGACCTTTTTTCTTTTTTTTTTTTTGAATGACCTTGTCTGGATATATCCTAAAAAAAAAATTCATAATGTTGAGGGAAAATAAATAAATATTAAAAGCTTTCAAAAAAATTAAAAACCATGTACCACAGAAAAATAAAAAATGCATTAGCACCAGATATTGTGTCTCAGTGAATAAAATTTCCGTCTAAGTATATATTAAGCATTTGTGAAACTGATCACATCGCAAGTGACAAAAATTGCAATAAATTTGATAAAGTAGTGTCTCACACCTGTAATCCCATCACTTTGGGAGGCCAAGGCGGGCAGATCACTTGAGGTCAGGAGTTTAAAACCAGCCTGGTCAACATGGTGAAGTCTTGTTTCTACCAAAAAAATACAAAAATTAGCTGGGTGTGGTGGTGCATGCCTGTAGTCCCAGCTAGTTGGGCAGCTGATGTGGGAGAATTGCTTGAACTTGGGAGGCAGAGGCTACAAGTAAGCTGAGAGCACACCACTGCACTCCAGCCTGGGCCACAGAGTGAGATCCTGTCTTAAAAAAAAAAAAAAAAAGTTGATAAAGACAGATTATCTGACTTTATTTAAAAATATATACCTGACACATATGCTAAGCATCATTTCTACCTGACAGATAATTAATAAATAAAAATGTATATATTGCCTTTATCTCATATCTTTCATAGTTGGTTTCTTAAGAAAAATATTCCAAAATTTAAAATTTTATTTTTATTTAAATCATAAAACAGACATTCATTTGCATTCTCTTAATAAACAGCCAAGACATTTCCTTTCAATACAGATGTGCTGAACAGTGCCACATCATCTTACTTCCATCAACAAAACCCATGGAGTTTTACCATTGATTTCTAGCTACAGCTATCATAGGGTGCAACTAGTCACTAATGATACACTTGAAATAATCTTAAGGTAAACATTTAAAAAAATAGATTTTTAACTTACATCTTTTATTCATATTCTAACATTTCGCTGCATCCATTTTACCAAGTTAACCTTCTTGTTTCCAAACTTTTTAATTATCTTTATCACAGGAACAGTAACTCTTAGTTTTTATATTCATGCAACTCATTGTCTATTGTCCAGCTATTCTCCAGCTTCCTGGGATCAGATACAATGGCAGCTTAGTTCAGTGCTCTATATCCAGTGATTAGCAAAATTATCTTACATAATTAATTCCAAAAATATGTGTTGAATAAATTAATTAGTAAATGTATATATGGCACAAACAGAACTAGGTTAGAAAAAACCCACCAAACTATTTCTTAAAGAAGAAATAGAACTGAGATTAGTAGAGTTCACAGGAATTTGGAAAGGATCATGAAGCTGTGTAATGCTGTTTAAGAAATGAGGACTCAGAGTCTCACTGATTATATTTGAATTTAGGAACTTCCACCATACTAGAGTTATCTTTTGCAAGCACTCTAACCACATTAGACCCCATTTTCTAATCTATACAGTGGGAATAGTAATAATAGCTAACACATTGATGTATCTTTTTGGATTAACTGAATGGATTCACTTAAAGGACTAAGTCATGTCTAATGCAGAGTTAAGCACTAAAAATGTTCGCTATTTCTATTTTAAAATTTTCTTTATGTATCTTAATCTTTTAACTAATTTACTTTTATCAGCTTAAAAACATATGACTTGCCAAAAAAGTAAGTGTAAATAAAGAAACTATAGCGTTCTCCAGATTCTATTAGCTAAACGAAATAACTTTAGTTTTATCTATTGTTTTAATAGATTTGCATTTCCTTTAATGATTTTGGATTGCCTAGTGTTTGACATCTATAATTTCCTGTGTTTTGTTTGATTGCTTATTTACATAGATAAGATCCAATATACTTTTTACATATTTTGAGTTTATGTACTCTTTGTACAGAATAAATTAACAACTGTGCCTTCTCTACTACTTAACTGAGACTACCTTGAGGGAGAAGCATTGTCATGTGTTTCTCCAGCACTTTTCTTTGCTTCTCTAAGGCAGAGGAGACAGCAGACTAGTACAGTGAAGTCCCGTTGATGCTTTTTCTTCAGAACTCTTTAAGGAATATATGCTGAAACAGAGCATTTTAGGGTAGGTGTTTAGAAAGCTGTTTTACCTTTATTCAACAGAGATAAAAAGTTATCTCAATGTTCCTTAATTAGATAAAAAAAGAAATATTATTTATGCTTTCTCTTTTTATAATATATGGTATAAAAAATTGAGTAGAAACATGTTAGATGGTTTCAGAGTCCATATTCTTCACATATAAGATCATAATCATATAATACTAAACACGTGAAATTAATTAGAAAATTAACCAATTAAATATATACATAAATATCCAAAGTTTGGGGAATTTAAAAACTATGTCTTATGAACACAGTTTTAGCTCAGACAGTGAGGAGAAAACAAAATAAAAAAAAATTTGTTGTAATGAATATTGGCCTAGATGACATTTTAATAAAAAACTGGCTGCTGATCAATAGAAAAAATTGGTTAACTTTCTCTGCTTGTGGTTGCCAACTGACTCTAACTATGGTCTACTTTTGGAAGATTTAAAACATTATAGCATCACTTATAAGAGATCTTTTCAGAGAGTTGATGACATATTTTTATTACATACACTCTTATAGCTTACCAGATATGGCCTGTCCTGCAGTCCTCTGTCCTTTCCATATGTTGGCAGGCAAAATGGAAATGAATTTGAACTTTTGTAGTTTTTATGTAGATGAATTGATTGTTTATTTTTTATTTGAGCCATGTTTTTAATTTCAAAATACATTTTCTCATAAAAAATACTTAATGTTTCTATGAAAACTAGAACATAGAAATCAGTCAGTAAACATAATAAACCAAAAATGTTTAAACTTCACATTAATATCCCAGGCTAAGAAGTACCAAAATACAGATGCACATGTTAATAGACAAAACACTTGAGGACAATATAGGATAACATTACATAGAAAGAATATATAATATTTTAAAAGTGTTTACAATGTCTAAGCATGTCTTATACTTATGAAGGATTATAAATGCAATGTTGTTTTTCTCTTATTTCTTCACTCAATGTAGATGTAGACTAAAGATGCACAGTGCAATAGAATAAAATTTCTTATTTTTCATTATATTGTCTTCCCATAATTAGAAGGAATATATATTGTCAGTTAACTTTGGTCAATCAGGTTTCAATAAATATTATGTTATTTAGGGAATTTAACAAGATTGGTAGAATTAAGTTAAATAATAGGAATAACACAATATATACCATGGCCCAGGCTCAATAGCACTCCAGCTAATATAGAGCACTCTAGCACTCTAGTAGTGTTCTATGAATTGGTGCTGTCCAATACAGTATCCATTAGCTACAAGTGGCTACTTACATTTAAATATAAATTAATTATAAATAAATAGCATTTAAAGTTCAGTTTTTTAATAGTTGTAGCCACATTTAAGTGTTTAATAAACACTAGACAGTTCTACATAACAATGCTGGTCTGGATCTTTACCAAAAATCAAACAGTGTGTCTTAATAAAACAATTATTACGTGTTTAATGTTCAAGCTAAAGTAAGTCGAATTAAAGTCCAAAAGGCTTTCTACTGATAAAGCTTTGTCTTCTACTGATAAAGTTGCAACCCTGTTATATTTTAAAAACTAGCATTAACCAAAAAAAGTTTTGTGAAAGTAGTCAGATAGTTAGACATGAGCAGGAGGGGGATACTCTGAAAAAAGGGTCTGGAGAATCTCATACGCCTGAGACCACCCAAATCATACATGCTACATATGAGCAGAGATAAGGGGAAATATCTATGCAGAAAGAAACGCCCCTAAGACACCCAGTAATCGCTCACTCTGCAGTTAACCTGTCAGAATGTAGCTAGCTACATGCTGATAAGAAGGGAAGAGGGCAAAGGAAAAATGTCTAAGAGATACACAAGTATAAGTACAGATTTGACTGCTATTAAACCTACCTGGGAGGGAGGTAATGATCAATGCAGCCATTAGGTAGAATTCATATGGGACACCAGGCCCACGCATGTGAACCAACAAATATTAAGAGAGGGGCCCACAAGCCTGGGTGGAAACTAGGCAGGGACTTAGAGCAGAAGCAGAAAAATTAGACAAAGAAAGAAGGCAGAGACTTAAAACAGAGGCAGAACTTCAAGAAAAAAATCCAGCGTCATAAAAACCAATGCAGAACTCTCAGGGCTGCTGCTGGGTCATTCTCTCTTTCGACCAGCCTGCTGTGACTGGTCTTTAAGAGTTACTGTCTTTTAAAATAAACCCTGGTAATGCTATTTTTCCAGCTGGGCCAGTTTGGAGCTGTTTTCCAACCAGGTCAGCCTGCTCCTCTCTTGGAGTCTACCCTTAGCTCCTTCATAAACACTTTGCATACATTACTAATTGTCTCTTGGCCAAATCTTTGTCCCAAGTTAGAGAAGAACCGAGGATTCCCACACTTCATAGTAACAGTTTGATTATTGTTTGATTTATAAAATACCCAATATCATGCCAAAAATTTTATCATGTATAAGATTTAAATGGAGTTTTAAATGGGATGCAGTTTTGAATTACAAAAAGAAAAAACCAGCATCTGCATGATAATATATGATACGTTATTTGAAGTCTACCTCTGCTAAGAGCAGACTGTTGAATTTGCCCATAATTATCCAGTGTCTTGTGCTCTTATAATAACTCAAGTCATAATATAAAAAATGGAAAGAGAACTACAGTACATTGCATCACCTCACTCATCTCTTGTGCCTCAAGGAGTAGCACCAGAATTAATCACGCTTGGAAAAACAACCACCAGATATTTGGTGAAACATTATTCTGGGTATGCCTGTGATCGTGGTTTTGGATACTATTAACATTTGAATTGGTAGATTGAGTAAAGCAAGTTACCCTTCCTAATGTGAGTGGCTGTCATCCACTCAGTTGAAGGCTTGGATAGAAAAAAAAAAGGTTAACCTTTTAAGTTAGAGGAAATTTTCATGCCTACTGAGATGGATCCTTAGTCTTTTCTTGTCTTTGAACTAGAACTAAAACATCAGCTCTTCTTACGTCTTGAGACGATTGGCTTTTCTACTGGAATTTACACTGTCAATTCTCCTGGTTCTAAAGCCTTTGGACTCGGACTGGAACTACACAATAAGTTCTTCTGAGTAATCGGTTTCCTAACTTCAGATCTTAGAACTTCTCAGCCTCCATAAACTTGTGAACCAATTCTTTATGTTGATTCTGTTTCTCTGGAGAACTTTGACTAATATATCCATACTGATTATTAGGCTTTATTCCATCTGAAAGATAGGTAAGATGTGGAGTTTCTTTAATGGTTGTTGTTCTCCTTTCCCATCCAGGCCAGGAGTTGGGGGAAGAGTTCCTGGCACTTTCCCTAGTCTTCCCTATAGGTGCTCAGAGAGTTTCTTGGAAGAAAAGACTTTAAGAGGGTATGAACAATCAATATCTTCAGTCCTTAGTGGCCTCACCCTCCCATGGTGGACTACTGTTGACCTTTAGTCAATCATTTAAAATTCTAGCTTCATCTTCTTATTGGAATTTATGTCATTTGCCAGTGTCTGTTGCAGTTAAACAACTGTTTGGGTTATGTTACTCTTCTTGAATATTTCATGGACACATCAAATATAATGTGTCCACATGAAAACTATTATTTTTTTTTTCTATATCCCCACAAATCTCTTCTTAGACTGCTCATCTCTATCTATGTGAATGTCATCACCCTCACACTTAGGTTCACATTAAAAATATAAAAATACTCATGTTTGATGCTTCTCTTTCCTTTAATCCTGTGTTCAAACTCATTGAAAAACATTGTTTTTACTCCAAAATAATTCCGTAATCCATCTTATTTCTTCCTTTGGTTTACTCTCCTAGCTTCATTAGTCATCATTCCGTTCCTCCTAAGTCCTCCTTACTTTTGCCTTTATCTGTTAAAATCCTTTCTGCTCTTCAAAACCTAAGTTATGACATTTCATACCTCTGTCTAAAACTTTTCAAGGACTTTGTCTTGCACTTAAAATAAAATCCAAGTTTTTTATCACGGTCAATTACTACTAAGTCATTTCACATATTTGATCTCTTCTCAACTTATTCTCTTCCACATACCATAAACCATAACCTCTGGCATCTCAGTTTTCTACTTTCCTGCAATACATCAATAGGATTTCTACTTCTGGGCATTTGCATTTATGTTTCATCTTTTTATCTTTATAAAATCATTTACCCATATTGTTGGATCTCAAATCAGGTATCTCTTTCAGAAGGTCTTTACTGATAACCGTATCGAGTGTTTTGCTTAAATCACAGTTATCTTTTATTACATAATCTATATCTTCATAGCATATGATCCAGTTAAATATCAATATACATTTGCATTTTGTTGTGGTGGTTGTTGTTGTGTTTCTACCTCTGAAACATAGGCTTCATGAAGGAAGGGAATACTGTGTTGCTCTCAAACTGCATTAGCCAATTGATAAATACAGATTAAAGGCATAGAACCAAGTATTGGAAATTAAGTATTCTTTAATACATAATTAGAATATAAAAGAAAATGCAGTATGAAACTCTTCTAAATGCACTTACATTGGCTACTCTGACTACAAGCTAAACATGAAGAGACATCAAAGGGCCATGTTTTCTGAAGGGAGTTGCAAACAGTTGAAGTGTAGACTCCCAGCCACCAATTCAACTTCTCCATTTCCTCACACCTGACTGAAAAGCAGAAAAAAAGAAAAACTGGAGAAGAATTTGAAAACGATATACCAGCACAATGAAGAAGCTTCAATGTAGTTATTTAGAGAAATTGGAGTGCTTGGACAAAGGACAGCCTCACACTCTCAGACTTATAGACTGCTTATGTTAATGATAAGTGAAAGAAACTGATGACGATGACTATTTGAGCATACAGAAAAAAAGGCTGGGGAAGTAAGTTTGGGAAGATTAATATTTCAAAAGTGGGGAATCATGCATTCCTCCTATTTGGTTTGGCGAGGATGAATAAATTTTCTAGGAATGACATGACATTCAATGGTGTTTGAGCTCTTAGACACATTCTCCATCCTCCCAAGATGATGTACAAAGAAATTTGTGAGGTGTACTTTTGCAATTGGAGCTAAGAGAGGAGGGGAAGGGCAAGAAGGCATTGAATCAAAGCAGACATTCTTTATTGAGAGACTCTGCCACAAAGAGGTTCCCTTCACAATCCTCTGAAAACTTTATACTTGTAGTACACAAAGCCATCTGGCACACAGCGGGCACCTGACAGAGGTCAGTCTTACATATATAACCAGTGATTGCCATGGGAAAGATTTTTTTTTTTTTTTTTTTAGCAAGGGGTGCTTTCTTTTTTCCCTTGGCTCCCATCACACTAGAGATGAGATAGGCCAATGGAGTGGGGAGGAACCAATTGCATTACATCTCCCTACAGTTACTTTGGGACAATAGCACTAATGCTGATAAAGGAGGGGGATTATTTAATTGAGCATGAGATGGAAGGTTTAATATGACTTTGTTTGTTTTATGTACTTGACAGTGGCTTAAAATTATGGAATTTGCTACCCAAGATGATATGAAGGACCGGCAAAGAAAATGTGTTGGAAGGTGTATAAAAACCTAAGTTGGGAAATAATCTAGCCAATTCCTATATGTAGCATACATCAGCTGTTAAATATAATGATATATGTACTTGGAATTAAACAAAAATATATATTACATGTAATTAATGGGTCACATCTCTTTATTATTGACTGAATTATTGATTCTGCAAGATTTTGCCACCCTAAAACTGAGGCAATATGATTCCTACTTGTAAGCCCAGCCCTCCTTTTAGCTTCAAGATAAATCCTGATTTTAAGCAGAGATTTTAAAAATGTAACAATTTTGTCACCTACTCTATTTCATAGCTAAGACTTGTCACCTTATGAGACTGAGTCTCTGATTTTGTATTGTTATTTTGTAGTGAGATTATCAGAATCCTTTATTCATATCAAAACCATGCCCTCTTTTCTTTATCTATTCAAGGCCTTGCATTTGTGATTATTTTAGGAAGAAATACTTGCTTCAATTAAACTCAACTAAAATATCACCTCCTCTTGCTATGCATTAGTTAAAGCTTAGAATAAGAGCACATTCTACTTATTTACCTAGCACTAAGTTTTCACTCCAGGCCACTCCCCAGGGCTCCTATGCATTGTTATGTAGGTTGTATACTGTACAAATATGCTACCTCTAAGGTTTTTGTCTATTTATTATACACAATAAAGATCCTATTTTTTTTGAAATTACTTTCCTTGTATTATTATACTTTAAGTGACTAAATATGGACAAATTTTTTAGACATTATAATATGTTTCTAGCAGTTAGCGGTTCAGTGCCTTATTTGAACAAAATCAATATTTTACAATAATTTTCTATTCGATGAAAATCAAATGTGTTGTTCTAAGAGGGCATGGTTTTTAATATGAAAAAGAGATTCTAGTCATCTCACTTTATCTACTTCTTTATCAGCTGAGTAGATAAAGAAGTAGATAAAAACACATCATCATATTAATATATTATTCTACTGTATTGACTTACAAACGAGGAACAAATTCAAAATCAAGCACGCAAGTCGATCTAATAATATGCTAAGTAAAATTCTGCTTTTTCAACTGGTATATTGACTGGAAAGTATTTGAAAAAATTGTTTAAATTTTATTTGTCTCCTATAAATTAGATATTTATTTTTATTTATTTATTTTAACAGTTTTTTGGGAAAAGGTGGTTTTTGGTTACATAGACTAAGTTCTTTAGTGGTAATTACTAAGATTTTGGTGCACACATCACCCAAGAAGTGTACACTGTATTGAATACTTATTATTTTATCCTTTGCCCCCCTCCCCTAGATTCTCCCTGCATCTCCAAAGTCCATTATTCTTATACCTTTGCATTCTCATTGCTTAGCTCCCACTTATAAGTGAGAACATAAGATGTTTGGTTTTCCATTCCTGAGTTACTTAATTTAGAACAATCTCTCTAATTCCTTCCAGGTTGTTGCGGATGTCATGATCTCACTCCTTTTTACAGCTGCATAATGTTTTATGTTGTATATATGCCACATTTTCTTTATCCACTTGTTGGTAGATAGGCATTTAGGCTGGTTCCTGTAAATTGTGCTGCTATTAACATGGGTGTACAAGTGTCTTTTTCATGCAATGACTTCTTTTCTTCTGGGTAGATACCCAGTAATGGGATTGCTGAGTCAAATAGTAGTTCCACTTTTAGTTATTTAAGGAATCTCCATACTGTTTTCCATAGTGGTGTACTAGTTTACATTCCCACCAGCAGTGTAAAAGACAAAAGTAAATATTATAAAGATCTAATCAGAGATTACTATGTTGTGAATTATTGATCATAACAAATGTACATTTGCTGCTATGAAAATTTTGACAGTACAAAAATTAACTGCTGCTAAAATTTAGTACATTATTACATTATTTATATATTTTAAAGTCTAAAATTAAATACTAAGCTGGTATTTTATTTATCCCCCAAAGTTAGAACTTATCTGAATAAGAAAAAAGAATGGAAAAAGACATTCGAGATGAAAATTAAAGAACAGTATATATCTGCAAGTGTATATTCATTGTAGCACTAGTCACAATAGCAAAGACATGGAATCAACTCAAATGCCCATCAATGATAGACTGGATAAAGAAAATGTGGTATATAAACCATGGAATACTACACAGCAATAAAAAGTATAAGATCATGTTCTTTGCAGAGACATGGATGGAGCTGGAAGCCATTATCCTCACCAAACTAACACAGGAACACGAAAACAAACACTGCATATTCTCACTTATAATTGGGAGCAGAATGATGAAAACATATGGACACAGGGAGGAGAACAACACACACTGGGGCCTGTCGGGGAGGTGAGGGAGGCCATCAGGATAAACAGCTAATGCATGTGGCGGCTTAATACCTAAGTGATGGGTTGATAGGTGCAGCAAACCACCATGGCACACGTTTACCTATGTAACAATCCAGCATGTCCTGCACATATATCCCAGAACTTAAAATAAAATAAAACAAAATTCAAAAAGAATAGTATGTATCATTGAGAACATATTTTAGAGAGAAAATAATATAGTATCAGATGGAGTGGCAGAAAAGACTTTAGAATTAAGATTTTCACCTGATTCTTACAGAAAAATTTTGTTCTCTATCTACTATAATAGGTTTTGAGAAAAACTGGAAGATTTTTAAAAGTACTAAAAAAAACTTTAAAATAAAACATTGTGGCTGCAAACAATTATTTATTTTTTACAATTTGTCATTTGGATAGTTCTTTGCTCTGCTCCACGTGGTGTTAGGGTAGTTCCGGAAGCTAGGAAATTCATTTCCAAGATGACTCACTCACATGGCCAGCAGTTGTGCTGAGTGGCTGGACTTAGATGGGACTGTCAATTGAATCATTTACGCAGGGGCTGTGCTTCTCACAGCTTGGTGTCATGGTTGTGAAAGGGAACATCTCAAGAGCAAGCATTTTAAGAAAGAGAAAGCAGGTTGGCAAGGTCTAATAAGAGCAAAGAACTGAACTGGCACTCAAGGAAAGTGCGGGTTCCTTGCATTCCATCAGTTGTAATAGTTAATACCAACCTACCATCAATATAGGGAGAGATAAACCCCATCTTTCCATAGGGGGAGTAACAAAGAATGTTTGGTCATTTTTTATTGCTCTGCACTTACTATAAGTCCATCTATGGTCTAAAATTATATTTCAACATCATTGTTTCCTATATTACTTGAATCAATGCTACCTTTAAAGATAGGTTTAAAAAAATAAAAGAACATCATTGTTTTAAATGACTTTTGTAATTTAAAAAACTAATAAATGTCAAAAACAGTAGCTTGTAAAAACTTTTTAAAGTTGAAGGTGACTCAAACATAAGGGATATGAAATTGATGGGGCATCAACATACAAGTAATTCAAAACATTGAGTTTATTTTTCCTAAAATCTAGTATAATTCTCTTAAAGCATTGCAGCTTATTTTATGTGGTTATTTACTAATCACACTTTTGTAGTTTTTATATCATTTCCACTAATCAGTTGCAAGAAGATGTCAATTTAAAATTAATAATGTTTAAATACCATTTAAGTTCTATGATTTCATTCAAAATATAAAATGTAGCTATCATTTTTATGAAAATTGAAAAAAGAACAAGCAGTCATAACAGATAATTTTCATAAAAGTGTGATATTGATTGGCTTTATAACAAATTAGGATTTTCTAGTAAATTTCAGTTACTAATTAATTTGATTGATACTGGTCTATTATGGTAATACTGATAATGGTCTATTATGGTAAATTCACTAAATGGATTTGTATACTATACAATGAGTTAGTGGTTGAGGTTATTGTTATTGAGAAGCTAAGTCATATACTTACATTTTTTCTAATTTTATAAAGTATTGTTTTTGTCTAAGTCACACAAACATAGCTTGGTGTTCATATTGCCTTGTTAATCTGCTTTGTTCAACTACATTTATTCATGTTCAATCATTCTTTGAAGAAAAATGAAGCAATACTATTTTTTAACAATAAATTTTTAATGCTAGATGTATTGCAGAGTTTTTTGACATGAATATCAACTCCTCCATAAACAATAAAACTGCACAAGAATACAAACATTGAAACCACATTATCAGTTTCTATATGACCCATTGGCAAAGCAAATAAAAAAGGTGGTTTCCAATAAAAATGAGGATGGTCACCTTTTTGCATAGTTTACCAAGGTGAGTGGCATCAGGAAAGTAATTAGTAAATAGTGGGAATAATTATATCAACCAGCTCAAGGAAGGCAACCTAGGACTAAATTCACTGTGGGTGAAATGGATTATTTAGAAAGTAGTTAACCACCACCTTTATCCTTAACACCTCTAATAGATGTTTGTTTTAGAGGACAACATTTACACTTTCTAGGCTTGTCTGTCTTCATTTCAAACATAAGGGCATTGCTAAGACCTACGCTGTATCTAAGCTTATGTAAGTGCACAAAATCTATGTTTTTTTAAAAAAAGGAGGAAGGAGGAAGTACACTTATTTAATTCATTTGTTAAACAAAAAGTGAAGGAAAAATAGAAAAGACCTAGAGTAGTGTCTTGGATTATTCCCTTCAGATAAAGTCTATTTCTCTTTTGTCTCTTTTTAATAGTAGTTGTATGTATTAGTTGTTTCTCATTCTTTTCAACATTTTTATTTTCAGAAACAAATGATCTATCAAATATTAAGATTGTAATTCTACTTAATCCTTTTGCTCAAGGAGGTGAGCTATATTATAGTAAAACAATCTCACAGATACATCAGAATTGTATCTTTCCAAATTCATTTTGAAATGTGTTATTTTTAATTAACTGGATATAATATGAAATGAAAGTAAATGTAGAAATACAAGAAAATTATCAGAGAAAAACAACAAATTATGCTGGGGTGATTTTATTTAAGTATATTAAATGAATGACAACACTTATTTGAGGATATTTGAGCTTGGTAGTAACTTAACCATCCTTATACGAGCCTTCATAGAGATAGCGTTGAGATAAATAAGATTTTCAACGTAAGAAAAATGGTGTAAATACCAGTGTAGATTTTATGTGCCTTAGATACCGAAATCTTGTTAGCCAAAACAATCTGGTAGTAACAATTAATGAATTCTAAAAAAAGGGAATCCTAGAAAGTTTGATGCCAGAAAATGCTTACTGTGAGCCTCTACTTTTCCTTCTGCCAAGTAATTGGCAAGCTAAACTCTAAACCTTGTCTACAATTAATTATAAGCAATCAAAGTCAGTTTGAATATGACTTTAGTATCGTGTAATTTATTGTTGTTACAAATATTTACACTGTATTGTTGTAGTTACATTCAAATAATTTATCTTTTTTTATTTAAAAATGTAGAATTATTTTCACAGAGAAACATTTTTCTTCTAATTTGGCTTGATACAAGAAAAATTATGTGCAAGTATCAAGTTTTTTTTTAAATGAAATTTAAAAATAGGTTACCTATGTTAATTTCTAAAAATTGTCCCTTCGTTTGAATTTAAATGAACACTGTTTACATGAAATGTTTTCTAAGAAAACATTTCTCTATTGTGGCCATTTTTTTATGTTCATGAGGATGAACGGGAACTTATTATTAAAATTTGCACTCCTACCTCTGAGTCACTTTTTGTTACTATGAGAAAACACTTCTGACAGTGGTTCAAAACATTGCTGAGGTATTCAATTATTTCTCTATTGCTCAACATAAAAATGTAGAAAGAATATTCAGCAAAATACATTTTCTGTATTTAATATAAATATACATGTATATATATATTTCTATATTTCTTCTTCTTTTACATAAAGGCAGTTTCAATATTTTCTTTCAGTATTAAATTTTTGGCAGAAACAAATCATCTATTAAATATTTTACTTAACAAATGACAACAATGCAATGTTGATATTAACCTCCAAATAAGCTACTCAACTGATAGACTTTAAATATGTTTTATACTTCAGTATACCAATGCCTTTCCTATATGGGCAGACATAGATATTATGAAATATGAAGGAAGAATTAACTTATTTATATTACTTGGGATAGTACAGTGCCTTTGGTTCTTCACAACTGTTTACAGAACATGAATAACCTTATACATACACCGCTTCTTGTTTCAAATTTGTATAATAGAGGGTCAGATTGCATTGATCCTTTGAAGTTCTCATAGCGGAATTGAGTAAACACTGAGAAAAATCTATTTAAACTTACTAGATATGTATTTGATACTTCTGTTTGAATTCCTGACTCTTTTAAATCACAGCTAAAATATGATATTTCATGAAGCTTCCTTAGACTATGCTCTCTGAAGTGGTCTGTCTCCTCCCTGACTCCTTTTGGCCTTTATTTTTGGTATTACTTACTTAGAACAGGCTATGTTCAATATAGAATATAATTTATCTATACACACCTTATGAACTCTTTAAGTATCAGAGTTATGATTTATAGTTTCTGTGTGCATGTGTGTGTGTATGTTTGTGTGTGTATTTGCCCTAGCAAGATAATTACCCCAAAAATGACCACTTCTCTTTTTAGTCTCATTTCAACGCTGTCTTTTACAGGGACTAAAACTTATCAGAATCCTGCAACAGTGGTCCCAAGAAATCCAGAAAAGTTTTATGCTTTTCAAAAAAAAATCAACGAGCATAAAAAGAGCAGAAAAACTGTCCTAAAATGTAGAAGAAATCATTTGAAATAGTAGCGTTATTTATTATTTTTAAATATGCTTCACTGAGGAGAGGTCTGACTTCTCAAGATTGAGGGGCCAGGCATAATTAAAGATAAGGGAATTTGTTCCATCAGGATTTACTATGGTCTGAATATTTGTGTCACCCCAAATTTATTTGTTGAAACCTAATCATCCAGATGATGATATGTGAGGTGAGGCTTTTGGGGGGTGACTAGATCCTGAGTGCAGAGCCCTCATAAATAGAATTAGTAACCATATAAAAGATGTTCCAGAGAGTTGCCTTTCCCCTTTCACCATGTGAGGACACAGACAGAAGTTGCCATGAACCAGGAAGAGGGCTCTCTCGTCAGATATTAAATCTGCCTGCATCTTGTTCTTGGATCTCCAGAGTCCAGAACAGTTAGATGTTTATTTAAATAAAAAGATGTAAGGTAAATACTGGCTTAACGTAGTTTTGTTAGAGCAGCTCAAACGGACTAAGACAGGTGTCTTCGGATACCACCACTTGCTGATATTAAAAGTTATAGGAGGAGACAATTTTCTCCTCTACACTGACTTAAATTTAGAAGAAAGTGTTTTTCTTCTTGTAAAACTAAAAAATGCATTTTCTATTTAAAGTATCATTTATTTATTTGTTTATTTATATTTATTGAGACAGAGTCTCACTGTGTCTCCCAGTCTGGAGTACAGTGGTGTGACCTTGGCTTACTGCAGCCTTGACCTCCCTGGCTCAAGCAGTTGTCCTACCTCAGCCTTCCAAGTAGCTGGGACTACAGGTGCACCTCAGCTTGCTGGGCTAATTTTTGTGGTTTTTGTAGAGACTGTGGTCTCACCTTATTGCCGAGGCCTGTCTTGAACTCCTAGGCTCAAGTGGTCTTCCTGCCTCGGTCTCCCAAAGTCCTGGGATTATAGGCATGAGCCACCACGCCTGGCCCAATTATTGTACAAAGAAAATGAATTAAGAATATGGTAAGTAGACAGCCGGGTGCAGTGGCTCACGCATGTAATCCCAGCACTTTGGGTGGCCAAGGCTAGTGGATCACAAGGTCAGGAGATCAAGACCATCCTGGCTAACACGGTGAAACCCCATCTCTACTAAAAATACAAAAAAGTAGCTGGGTGTGGTGGCGGGCGCCTGTAGTCCCAGCTACTCAGGAGGCTGAGGCAGGAGAATGGCGTGAACCTGGGAAGCGGAGCTTGCAGTGAGCCGAGATCGCGCGACTGCACTCCACCCTCGGGGACAGAGTGAGACACTGCCTCAAAAAAAAAGAATATGGTAGGTAGAACAGTAGAAGCACAGGTGATGGCTGACCTGATAAACAATAAATTGTTAAACTGGATTTCTAAATTGGCGTGATACACCAGAACAACCAATTTCTAAAACGACCTAGTCACATTTTCCCCCATTTTATTTTCTTAGGTTTCATTAAACATTAGCAGTTTTTCATGGCTACTGTTGGTAATGCCCTGTTCCAAAAACACTGCCTGTAAGAGATATTACTAGTCGTTATGACGACATAATGTATCCTTGAAAAACAATAACAGAGTGAATGGATGTTAAGTGTTCTCACCACAAAAATGATAACTATGTGAGGTGATGCATTTGTGAATCAGCTGGATTTATTCATTCCACAATATATATATACTTCAAACAGTATGCTGTACACAATAAATACATACAATGTTACCTGCCAATTAAAACATTTAAAAATCTTGACACTGTGATAGTCTCTGAGACATGTTATTATTTTTTGTTTGTTTTCACCAAGGTAAACTTTCCTTTACCCAAAACTGTATCCTGGAAATACTATGGAACCAGATCTGAGCTCAAATACTGTTTCTACTTTGTGCTAGTAATTGCTTCTCTCACTTGCCTTTCTTCAAAAAATACAGTATTTATGTGTTAATTATTTATTAAATATTGATTCAACTTATATATAGTAAGCATTTTTTTAATAGGCACCTGGCATTAAAGAAGCTGTAAAAATCCCTTACTCTCATGGTACTTAAATTTTAATGAGAGGATAAAAATAAACAAGTAAAGAAAATACACATTTTTCTGCTACATTCATTTATTCAAAAATTAATTATATTTCTACTCTTTTCCAAGTGCTTCTGGCATTAAAAAACACAGCATACACACAATTACTGCTCTTTAGTGTAAAGAGAGAGACAGAGAGACATAAATAAACAATATTCTAGATAATAGTATATGTCGTGAAGAACCATAAAGTTTTGCCAACAACATAGAGAATGGCAAAATTTCTAGGTCAATTGTGTCTTTGAAAATCAAGGTTTTAATATTTTACAATATTTAAAATGTTCATTTCAATAAATTAATCTTTGCACATATGTCATTTCAAGGAGGAGGCTTACAAATGTCTGGAGAAAGTGTTCTAAGCAAAGAAAACAGATACTGAGGCAAGAACAATCTTGTGTTTGTGGAACAGTAAATACAGCAGCACACCAGGAAAAAGGTAAAATAAAACTAACACTGGATGATTCAAAACCACATGCAATGATATTCTATGTTTTAATATGATCAACGAACTGTTGTATGCACATTGGAATGGCTCTGTGTAAAAGGGTGGAGCACGTGGATTCATCTCAAATGAAATAATAATATGTGAAAGATGGTATGAATCCAATGGCTGAATTTGAATTCTGGCTCTACTATTTACTAGCTGTTTGACCTCTTTAGGCAAGTTACTTAACCTCTCTGTGTCCAAATCCCTCATGTGTAAAATGGGGTAAACAAATACACTTATTTTATCTCAGAAGGTTGTAAGGAGTAGAAAAGATAATACATGTAACATTAATTAGTACAGGGTCTGCCATGGAGTAACTACTCAATAATGATTACTTATTATTAAGATATTAATAGCAGTATAATGATAGTAGGATCCTATACACATTTTTATCCTATATATTTTGTTGTTTTATATTTTTAAAAAATCCAGTTGCTTGGGCTGATTCTATCCTTTAAGGACGTTGGGTTTCTTTATCATCTTCCTAATAAAATACAGTAGGCTGAATGCTTATACAGCAGAAATGTATTTCCTCACAGTTCTGAAGGCTAGAAGTCCAAGATAAGAGTGCCAGCATGGTTCTGGTGAGGGCTCTCTTCCAGGTGTATAGAACCTTACCTTCTCACTGTGTCCACAAGAAAGAGAAAGAGAGAGGGAGAGAAAGAGAGAGACAGAGCAAGAGAGAGAGAGAGAGAGAAGAGTGATCTGATGTCTTTTCTTGTGAGGTCCCCAATCCTATCATGATGGTCTTTCTCAATGCATTTGTGCTGCTATAACAGAATACCTAAGACTGAGTAACTTATAAAGAAAAGAACATTATTTTCCTATTTTCCACAGTGCTGGAGACTAGGAGGTTCAAGATCAGAGTGCCAGCAGATTCAGTGTCTGGTGAGGGCTGCTGTCTGCTTCCAAGATGGGGCTTGTTGATGCATCCTCTGAAGCTGATTAATGCTGTGTCTTCATATGACAGAAGGAACAGAAGGGGTAATTTTTTTCCCTCAAGTACTTTTACAAGACACTAATCCATTCATGGCTTAATCACCTCCTAAAGGCCTCACTTCTGAATACTCTCGCATTAGGGATTAAGATTCAGCATGAGTCTTGGAGGAAACACAAACATTCAGGTCATAGCAGGGGATCACCCTCCTGACCTCATTTAAATTTAATTACCTCTTAAAAGTCACTTCTGCAAATCCTATGGCGTAGGTGTTTAGGACTTCAGCCTATATGAATTTGGGGACACAATTTGGTCCATAGCAATTATAAATGTGTTAAAATGAATTATAGGCCCCAATACTGGTTTCTTTGTAATATTATGCATCAACACCCAATGCTCTTCCTTGTTTATTGACTTTGAGCTTGACCACATAAACAACTTTGAACAATACAATTGAGATGATGTTAGTCCAGTAATGCTAGTAAAGATATTGCTGAGAAATGTGACAGAAGATACAAAAATAAATTTAAAACATAGGGCATATTAAGCATATGAGTTCTTCTAAACCAATTAAATGATTTTTTCATTAAAACAATCATCAGTATGATTTATCAGAGTCATTCTAAGAACTGTTGGTGATATGGAAGAAGGATGTGAAAGCAGACTGGGAAACGAGTTCCATTGCAGGGGCATAGATGTAGGAAACATGTATTCCAGGTGTAGATCAGAAAAAAATGGTAAATAGAGAGATTTCAGTAGATGGCTTGGATGGTTTAGTGATTAACCTTTTTTTTGGAAAGGGAGAAGAAGATAATGCAAAAATTTCTCACAAGAATAACTTAATAATAATGTTGTTATTAAAGAAATAGGAGTCAGAAAAAAAAGGGCTAGGTTGTGGATATGCAAAATTGTGGCAGAAATGACTGACTTTAAAATTTATATTAGACTATTAATACTGACCAGTATTAAAATGTCTTAAAATTATAATGTCAAAATAAAATATCATAACACTTCTAATGCACTTAAAAATATTATCCACATAATACAGGAGTCTTTTACAGATGAGAATGCCTAGAAATGTTGTCACTGGGAATAGTCATTAAACTGTTATAAAGGATGGCTGGTCAGGCTCGGTGGTTCATGCCTGCAATCCCAGCACTTTGGCAGGCCAAAATGGGAAGATTGCTTTAGGCCAGGAGCTGGAGATCAGCTGGCAATGTAGTTAAACAGCAATGTGTTGAAGCCCTGTCTACCAAAGCAAAGAAAGCGGGGCAAGGTAGTGTACGCCTATAGTCCTAGCTACTTAGGAGACTGAGAGGGAAGGATCTCTGGACTCCAGAAATTCAAGATGTACCATTAGCTATGATCATGTCACTGCACTCCAGCCTGGGTGACACAGTGAGAACCTGGATCAAAAAAAAAAAAAAAAAAAGATGATGACACAGTTCTAAATTAGACCAGGGGATTAGAAATGTTATTATTTTGTTACTTAGTGAATTAAGAATAAAGTCTTTAATGATCAAGGTCAATAAATAAAAATAAATAAACAATTATTTCTATATTTCTAGCATGGCTATGTTGCAAGGATTTACAGTTTTAGAATTTGTATGCTTATTTTCATAAGAGTGTCATGGATGGCTTACAGCCTGGAAGATCAGGCCTCTAAAAGCTCAAATCTGGCTTCACTACATACAGATTTTAATTGTTTGGCAAAGAAAAAGGTAATACACACTTCACATATTGTTTGAAGCTAAATTTAGTCTTCACAGGTTTAGAACATTGCATTAGCTCAATAAACTTGAATCAACAATTCATAGTTTTCAATGAAGGCTAAACTACTTGCTCAGAAGTCAACATTCCTGGGTAGTTTAATTCTGGATGTGTTTCACTAGTGTTTCTCAAAATATTCATGGGAAAGAGGGGCACAAAAATCATCAAAGCTCCTGAACTGGATACTGCAAAACAAATGAGAATATTACATACTACAGGAAGCAATATACTGTGTTACATAAAGTATGAATTTGATAATAATCATAGCTATAGATTTAAAATAGACATGTATTGAACAATTTTACAATGATAGGTAATATGCTAAGCACTTTATTGAAGCACTATTTACTATAGTAAAGACTTGGAACCAACCCAAATACCCATCAATGATAGACTGTATAAAGAAAATGTGGCACATATAAGGCCATGGAATACTATGCAGCCACAAAAAGGAATGAATTCATGTCCTTTGCAGGGACATGGATGAAGCTGGAAGCCATCATTCTCAGCAAACTAACACAGGAACAGAAAATAAAATACTGCATGTTCTCACTCATAAATGGGAGTTGAACAATGACAACACATGGACACAGGGAGGGGAACATCACACACCAGGCCCTCTTGGGGGTGGGGGGCAAGGGGAGGGAGAGCATTAGGATAAATACCTAATGCATGCAGGGCTTAAAACCTAGATGACGTGTTGATAGGTGCAGCAAACCACCATGGCACATGTATTCCTATGTAACAAATCTGCACCTTCTGCACATGTATCCCAGAACTTAAAGTAAAAATAATAATAATAATAAAATTTAAAAAAATATATAAACCTAATTTTTATTTTTATTTTATATCTCAAAATGTAAATACTGCTTTTTGCTCCTGTTATAGGGAAACTGAAGCAAACTAAGGCAAGTAACTTGACTGAGGAAGCAGGAGAAAGTGGCAGAGGCAGACATTAACTCAAAAGCTCTGGTTTTATTGTAGTTTTTTTTTCTTTTTTGAAGGACTACATTGTAGTCATTCTTAACCACTATTCTGTATTGCTATATGTATCTAAATATGACAATTATATGAATAAAATAATTACTTCATTATTTGTCAGTATATAGCGCTTTAGGAGAGATTTTCTAGGGAAAACCTAAAGCAAATCATTAAAAGAAGAAATAAAATCTTTATTAATTTTATATTGCTTGTTAACTTCAACAATAAATGCTGTGCTATTGAAAGGCAGCAAATGGAAAATGGTGATGCTTCTATTCTAATTTGAAAAGCAATGTACAATGAAAGGCTAATGCAGGCTTTTAAATGATTAGCGACAAGCAAATATATATAGAATACATATGTAATGCAATCAGTGAACATGATAGTAAGAAAATGGCTAAACAATTGACTTTAGAAAGGGTCTAAAAAGAGAGAAATATGCTGCATGTGGAGGGAAAGAAATAGAGGAGAAGGACTCACTAAAAAATAAAAAAGTGATAACACTAGACATGAGACAATTGGTGCATGAAGACAAAACAGAGCCTTTATAAATTCTCATTTATTTTTAGGTCATTCAAACAGTATATGTGTGTGTGAAACTTTATATATATTATATATACATATATATATAGTATCTACATAAAAATAGAAAATTAGTTCAGGATTTAGAGGTGATAAAGGAAAAACCCTAGTACTGAAAAGATAGACACAGGTTTTTAGAAGAAACAAAAATAGTCACATTTCAAAAGGCTTTAAGGAGCAAGATAGAAAGGAGTACAAGATAGAAAGTGAACACATTGAATGAAATGATCTTAAAATGAATGTGAAAGCCATCTGCACAGTATCTATAAATATCTATATCTTGCTCATTTTTTAGTTGATGTGATAGAGTTTTAGGTGTGCATAAATAATAAGCGTGGGTTTATTCTTCATCTACAGCTCAGGCATATCCTTTTCAGATATTTTATTATATTTTTTTCAATGTTGAAATTGTATATTTTATTCCAAAGCATCTTCAGATACATTCCATCTGGATATTATTTAAAGACTACCCAAAATATTCATGAAGGTAAATAGTATTTACTGATATCTGCTAATAAAATTATAAAAATAAGTATTAATATTTTAGTACATGTCCATCTCTTTAATGCCAATTCCCATTAAATGGTTTTCCATAAAAACAGTCCATTTCTCTACCCTTTAGAATATATTTTATGTTTGTGATTTTAAAAATTTAATAGATTGTTACAGCAATTTAGGCTTATGGAAATACTGAACAAAGTGCAGAGTTACCCTTATTCCCATATACCTCTTGCCTATGTCTCACACACAATTTCTTCTAGTTTGAACATCTTGCATGAATGTGGTACATTTTTTACAATTGAAGAATCCAGTGAATAACACATTGTTATTCACTAAGTTGTCAGGTTACTTCAGAATTCTCTCTTTTTATTGTGCAGTTCTATGGGTTTTGACAATGCATAACTTCATGTATCCATCGTATCATGCAGAATAATTTCATTTCCTCAAAACTCCCATATGGCCTATCTATTCATCCTGCTCCTCCTTGCCCCAGAACCCCTGGAAATTAGTGATCTTTTCATTTTCTGTTTGTTTTTTTCTATTTCCAGGATGTCATGTAGATTAAATAATATAGTATGTAGTCTTTTCAAATTGGCTTTTTTCTTCTTCACTTAACAATATATCCCATGGCTCTTCCATGTCTTTACATGGCTCATGGGTCATGTTTTGTGTTTTTTTTTTTTCAGTAGAAAAATTTAATACTAGAGAAATTCATTCACTTCAGTAACTTTTCTCCTCAGAGATGGACGGAACCACATTTTTCTCATAGAAAATAAAAAAAAAACTTAAGCTATATTTTGACTTTTGAAAGTTAAATTATACCATTGCATACTCTTTGAGCAACTTATATATGTTGAAGGGAGTGGAATTATCAAGTATTTCAGGATCATGATGTAAAACTGTCAACATTTGGTTTATTAGACATTGATTGTTATTTTATTAGAAATTGTTAACTTAATCTCAGAGATTGTGTTTATCATTTATAATTATATTTTAAGATCTAGAGTAAAATTCATGTTTTTGATGGTGTACAAACATACATATCTTCCTTGATACATGTGGCTCTCCTTGATTTGTTTTCATTCCTATATGCTGTCCCATTTTATTCATGTAACCATAAATCTATTCTTCTTTTAATTGATTTTTTACTGTTGTTTGCCTTCTCTTCATTACAATGAATAAACATATATATGCTTTATTGTTAAAATGTGAATATATCTCCTGGAGTTCAATTGATTTGCCAGACTTTTCTATATTTTTTTCAACTGGATGAGTATAAATGATATTTTATCATGATTGAAATTTGTACATAGCTTTTTATTAGTGATGTTAATAATAAGTTCTTATATGTATTGGCAATTTGAATTTCCCCTTTTGCCAATTTTTGGCTCTTACAGGAATTTTTAATATGTGTTTTCTGCAATAATCCATTGTTCTTTTGAGATTTTAACAAGTTGAGGAATTCTCTTCCACTTCTAGTTTGCTAAAAGTCTTTTAAAAACATATTGAATGCCTTTGCTAGATTTGCTTTGCAATGTATATGAGACATAGAGGTAGGTAATTATCTGTGAGATCAGCTTAAAATTTCTATTTCATACATTTTAAAGCTGGTTTTGTTGCAAGGTTATACAGAATCTCCCCCAAAATTGAAGAAAATCTTCTATCTTTCTATTCCCAGATTTTCTTTTCCAATAGTAATTCTTTGAATGTTTGGAAATCTGCCATGTAAGATATTTTAGCCAGTTTTCTGTAAGTTTTTCTAATACATTTAGTTACTTTTATAGTTACATTTATTTTGCAATTTTCTACTTATTATCCCCACTTTGATAAATGTTTTTCTATAAAATCAACAATTTTGTTTTCCATTTGTTTCCATTGTATAGCATACAGTTTTCATCTAAAGTCCTTTGTGCTTTTACTTATGCCCATTTTTACTCTTATATTATTTATTTATGCCTTTGTTTTTTCTCTTGTCTGCTTTTGCTTTTCATAGACAGCTATCATTCTGTTCTTTTTATTATATTGTTATTTTCTATTGGTTTCTTTGTATTATTTTTCATTTGCCATTATTCCTACCATCCTCCCAATGAATTCATGGAAACTACAAAGCCTTAGCACTGACAACATTTCAACTTTTTTTTTTCTTGTCTAGTGTTTGAATTTCACCTTATGTTTCAACCTCTAAAGTATTAATTATTTTTGTTATTATATTCAGTGGTCACTTATATGAATGAATCAGTTTATTTCCTCTTAGTGATAGCTGTTGTTTGGGGTGGGGGTGGAGAGAAACTCTGAATTATAAGATTTTCTGACATTATTGGTGTAAATACGCACAACATGGCCAATTTTAAGCTCCAGATGCTTTAACAATTGCTTAGCAAAAGTCCTGGAAATAATATATTCTTGCAAGATGATGTGAGCAAGATCTTGCACAGTAGTCTTTGCTATCTATTCATTTATTTTTTCCTTCTAGAAACAATTTTCTCTTTGAACTAAAATCTTTAATATTAAATATCTTTACTATAATATTTAATATTTGGTCATAGAGATAAATTTGTGAGGCTAGATATGATTATTTCCATTATTTATAAGTAAATAAAGATGTCTGAAACATAAATAATATGATCCATATCTTGAAGTTAAAAATCATAGAGTTGAGTCTTAAAGCAAATTTCGATTTCCATCCTTTTTTTTTTTAACCACATATCATAGTCTGAAAGATTGCATCCACAAAATTTGCATGTTGAAACCTAATCGCAAGTGATTAGATTAGGAGTAGTGTTTTTGTGCGGTAATTAGATCATGAGGACAGTGCCTTCATATACGGAATTATAAAAGCCTTAATAAAAGGGGCTTCAGAGAGAGACCGCTTGCCCCTTCTGCTATGTGAGAAAACAGCAAGAAGGTACTATCTATTAACCAATAACTGGGGTCCTTACCAGACAGTGAATCTGCTGGCACGTTGGTTTTGGACTTTCCAGCTTCCAAAATTATGAAAAATAAATTTCTGTTGTTTATAAGCTACCCAGTCTATGTTATTTTGTTATAGTAGCCTAAATGAACTGAGACACCATATTCACTTTTCTGACACGTGATTATACCTTGCATAAATAGATTTACCTAACTAGGTCCCAGTCCTTACCTACCAAATATCTGTCACCAAGCATTGCTTTGAATAATTGCAATTCCAATCTGCTAAGATTGTAATACAGTATAGTAATTACTGCTTTATATGCAAATGTTTCCACTTTTATTCACTTGAAAAGCCTGTTTCATATTTAATCAGCCTGGCCATTGTTAAATATCATAAATAAAGTTAGACTCATTTACTCATCACACTCTTAATGGTATCAATATTCCAGAAGATAATAGAGTCATTATTGTCACTGACACCAATTAATCCTTATTAAACACCCACTGAGTGCCTGTTACTAAACAGAACGCAGAATAGAAGGTACTTAGTGAAAAGTATGAATAAGTTAAAATTTTAGTTCATACAATCAAGCATTATAAAGTGATATGCAGTATCATAATAAAAAGTGCCACACTCAACTTAGGTCTCGAATTGAATGTGAAATAGTTTGAAAATTGCAAGTATTTTTCTAGCGGTTTTTTTTTTTTTTTTTTTTTTTTTTTTTTTTGAGACAGAGTCTCGCTCTTTCGCCTAGGCCAGAGTGCACTGGCGCAGTCTCAGCTCACTGCAACCTCCACCTCCCGGGTTCACGCCATTCTCCTGCCTCAGCCTCCCGAGTAGCTGGGACTACAGGCACCCGCCACCATGCCCTGCTAATTTTTTGTATTTTTAGTAGAGACAGGATTTCACCGTGTTAGCCAGGATGGTCTCGATCTCCTGACCTCGTGATCCACCCGCCTCGGCCTCCCAAAGTGCTGGGATTACAGGCGTGAGCCACCGCGCCCGGCCAGCCACTCCTTCTTACTATGTGATATTGACACTCCTCCATGGGGAGGTAGGGACTTCTCCTCCCCTTGAGTGTGGGCTGGGCTTAGTGACTTGCTACTATTGAAGAGAATGTGGTGGGATTCCAAGCCCTTCAAGGGATGTTGGCCATCTTGTGAGCAAACTCAGAAACCTGAAGCGACAAACGTAGGTGTTCTGCTTAACCACCCCAAATAAATTCCGTATCAACCTCTGAGCATGTGAGTGAGCTAGTGTTCGCATGTCAGCTCCCAGTCTTTGGTTTGTACAAAGGAGTAGGTAATGCAGCAGAGAAAACCACCCCTACTGTACCATCTGAATTTCTGACCTTCAGCTTAGTAAATGTAGTATCACTTTCTTACATAGACATTTGAAGTAATTTTTTTATGCATTAGTAACTGGAATAAATAGCTTTAAAAATTATTCTGTCCTCTGCATGGCGTAGTGGCTCACGCCTGTAATCCCAGAACTTTTGGAGGCCGAGGCAGGTGGATCATTATGTCAGGGGTTCAAGACCAGCCTGGCCAAGATGGTGAAACCCCATCTCTACTAAAAATACAAAAAATTAGCTGGTCACTGTTGCATGCGCCTGTAATTCCAGGCCGAGGCAGGAGAATCGCTTGAACTCGGAGTGCAGAGGTTGCAGTGAGCCGACATCATGCCACTGCACTCTTGCACTCCAGCCTGGGCGACAGAGTGAGACTCTGTCTCAAAAAAAAAGAAGAAAAAAAATTCTGTCCTCGTGATATTTTTTCATGAACTGTTTTGGTTATTGGTTTTTTGTTTGTTAGTTTTATATTTCCATTTATATACATGTATGTGCTTTCTATTTATTGTGGTGTTTATAATCTTTTGATTGTTCCATAAGATTACTTCATATACTTTTGGAATATATTTAAACCTCTATTTCTTGATTAATGTCAGACAGTGCTGATAGAAACACTGATATAAAAAAATGAGGGAAGGAACACATATTTTTCCCATTGTTATTATTCATGCTTCCTCTCTTGATTTAGGTTATTTATATTATTAATTTAAAATATTCAAATAATTTTATATAATGTTTCATAAAACTTTGAAATAAAATTTAACTTATTTGCATACTTAATTTTTTATACATTTCCACCTTATATAATTAAGGAAATTAATACACC
Source organism: Homo sapiens (assembly GCF_000001405.40). Taxonomy (NCBI): domain Eukaryota; kingdom Metazoa; phylum Chordata; class Mammalia; order Primates; family Hominidae; genus Homo; species Homo sapiens. Next base: position 132,012,594 of record NC_000004.12, read on the forward strand.
TATACCTTCTCCTATCTACTATAATTATTTCATAATGTTTGGTCATTTTTGCATTCAGAACTTTATCATATTTGATATCATATTTTTTCCATATTCTTATAATACTTGATACCACATTTTTGCATACACATGTTCAATTTTTCCACTAGTGATATTGCAAAACAGCCATTGTGACACATAGCTGCCACATTTATTTCTTGGTTTTGTTAATTCTATTCTGCAATATTTTCTCCCTGAGTAAGGCTATGTATGTATTTTTCATGTTCATAAATAGCTGCATATTCTCTATATTTGAATCACTAGGTAGCTGTAGATAAATATCATAAATCATATTTCCATTACCTAAGACTGTTTTAGGACATTTCTGTTATCCTAAGCAACTGGATACTGACAGTGTAACTTCATCCAGCAGCCACTACCCTCACTCCCACTCTAACCTAGCCCACACCTAAACCTCATAGGAAACGGAAATTTTAGGCCTGGATAACAGAGTGTTTCTATTTTCTAAATACATAACTAGGATATGTTTTGTGTAGATAGTCAAATTATTTTGGAATAATAAAGTGAGATATTTCAGAAAATAATATCAATACATTCTTCAAGGAAAATAATTCTCTTTTTCAGTATTTTATTTTCCATTCATTAGGTAGTAATTTTGATTTTGTATAAACCAACCTCTCATTGTGTTCTCACCACATTTTACATCCTTTTTTTTTATTAAACTAATCTTTGATAATTTGGCTGCAGTCTTCTTGATAATCTTAAACCTTTTCCTCATCTAATAAACAGTGCTATGTATATATACACACAACATGTATATGTTATATATATACAAAATATATAATATATATATTTTGTATATATATATATATATATATATATATATATACACACACATACTCTTCTACTCACAGGTAAAGTGATATTTTTGATGTCTGAGTTATATTTTTCCTAAGTTTGTTGTTAAGGAAATTTGATCTCAATTTAATCTAATTATATTATTTTAATATTTTCTTTTGCGCTAGTTTTATTATACTTTGATCATTTAATTTTTTATAATATAAATGACTTTTATATTATTACTTCCAGCTTGGATTATCACAAAATATTATGTAGAAGAAGTAATACTTATTTGTGCTAGTTGAATAGAAATTGAAAATAGAAATGAGGAACTTTTCCTTATACTTATTTCTATAACTTTTTCTTATTCACAGAAAAGAAAAATAAAATATGGCAAATATGTAGGAAATCAATGAGTCAAGTAGGAGTAATGAAAAATTGAATAGCATCATATGATAATAGTGTAGAGTTTACGAAGGGACTCCATGGAAGTAGGTTTGAAGTTGTTGATGGAGATTGTGGATGTTTTTGAATACAGATTAATTTGTTTTTATTTTAGCATGTATGTATAAGAAACTCAATAACGGTTTATAAAGAAAAAGTTACATAACTAGATCAATTGTTTACAGATAATATCAGATAGTAAATGTAATATACACATTGACAGAAAGAGAGGAAAATAGATTCAAAGTAATATCAGCATTCCAGTTTTTTCTAAGTTAAACAAAATGAGGGTCAAAATATTAAAACAACTGCAAATGTAATAAAGAGAAAGTTAAGAGAGATAGAGGTAAAAGTTAATGGGATTTGACAAGCTTTTTGTTAAAGAAATTAGATTTTTTTTTTTAAGTGATACACATTTGAACAGTGGATTTGGGGTAATTTAATCAATTATATCTTCCCCTGTGCTGATTCTTATTAAATTTCTCCTTTTAAAAGACACCACATTTTATCTCAATATCCTCATGTGAAATAGAAAAAATAATATTATAACTCATAAGGTTTTGGATAAAACCCCAAAGAGCTGGTGAAGAGATGTAATCAGAATCAGAATGTATTAGTAGAGTGCCTAGCATGAACAAAGTGACCAGTAAAGTCCATTGTGCTTTTACTTTTATTTATTTCTTTACATGCAGTCTTTTTCTGTTTTTTTTTTGTTTGTTTGTTCATGTTTTTTTTTTTTTATGGAATCTCGCTCTGTTGCCCAGGCTGGAGTGCAGTGGCACAATCTAGGCTCACTGCAACCTCCGCCTCCTGGGTTTAAGTGGTTCTCCTGCCTCAGCCTCCCGAGTAGCTGGGATTACAGGTGCCCATCACCATGCCTGGCTACTTTTTGTATTTTTAGTAGAGACGGGGGTTTCACCATGTTAGCCGGGCTGGTTTTGAATTGCTGACCTCAGGGGATCCACCCACCTCTGCCTCCCAAAGTGCTGGGATTACAGGCATGAGTCACCGCACCAGGCCCAGGCAGTCTTTTTCTATCCTGACTATACACAAAATATAGCATTAATTAAGCATCTCTTATTTCAGTTTATGCTGTATTCAAACTAAGAGTTAATAGTTGGAAACAATGTTATGAAAAAATACACAGCTTCTCGCCATATTAAAAGTAAAATTGTAGAAAAGTGAAAGTGTATTATAAATGGATGATGTGCATTCTAAGACTCTCCTTCCATATTATAAAAAGATGGGAATGGTCTAATTGATTTCAGTTATTCCTGGTAGCATTAAATTCTATTATATTCTGATGGCAGTACATAAGCCATTAGAATAAAACACAACTAACCTCTCTAAATCGTTTGAATTCTTGTAAAGAATTTCTAAATGCATGAGAGTATAATGTGTCTGTTTCCTAAAGTGTCAATGTTAACACTTTAACTTTCAGTACCAAAGAATATGTATACTACTATTCTGGATGGCAGGAAACAAGATTAAGCATGTTTATTTTAAAAGCCTATTGAGTATTGAAGGAAAAAAAGCTTTGCCATAAGTAGAATCAATTTGAGTTTCTTTATATACTGAGCATACATTTTAGTCACAGGGAAGTTTGCATAATTTTCTTGTGCTAATATATTGTAAAATGAAAGGCATAGCATTGTTTATAGAAAGCCTTAAAAGCCACAAACAGCATTTATGTGGCTAACAAAAGGTTCTTTCTTTCCATGAAACATTTGAAATTTTCAAGAGTATACAAAGTTAAAGTTAATATAAAGTGTTTCTATTTACCATATTATTTTACCCTTCTGTTATGGTGCTTCCATGAACTGTCATAAGATGTGAGAAGCAAAGAAGATAATTACTGAAAAATGATTGAAATTCTAGATTTCATGCCAGTATAAATGGTGTCAGGTACATATGCTTAAACTTACTCCAAAGACTTAAGTTTAAATAGATTTATTCTCATTTATTAATGAGAATTTATAACTCACAATTTAGCATTTTGTCTTTATAATTTATGTAAAATAATATAGTAAGAATGGTAGGTGAGCTGAAATGTAGGTCAAGCAATAATTCAAATGAAGAGAGTTCTGAAAAATTACAAAATCAATGATTAAGGTAGAGATAAAATTATTTGTCAAAGGAACTTCAAAGATGGATTATCTTTGCTCAAGCTCTCTTTCTCTGTTGCAATAGAAGAATATTTCTACTAATTAATCATGTCAATAAATCTTTCAATTAATCATGTTAAAATTTATTCTTAATTTTTTCACTAAACATATAAAAGGTAGTATCTTTCAAAACTATAAAAATAAGTCAGCATTGTTCAGTGAAGTATTCTGATTTTGTTTTGATTTTTATTACAGTGATTTTTGACATGTTCAATAATTTAATTTTGGGAATACATGTTCATAAAATCTTTCACAAAAGACTACAATCATGGAGGATACATCTTACTTTAATTAATAGAACAAGATTCCATCTAAGTGGATAATTTTAATATATAAGAAACATTTTCCTCTAGCAAGTACCTGGTTATTTGTATTTTCTTTTCATCATTATTATTAAACAAAATAAAATCAACAACATTTATTAAATGCTTATTTTATTATAGCACTCTCTTAAGAAGTTGAATAAAGTAAAGGAAATATATATGATTCTTGTTCAATTTTAAAAGTTTAATATAATCAACACTTATAAAACTGCATGCATATATATATATATAAAATGAAAAGTTAGCATTACCCTAAATATTTATATTACATGCCAGCAGTTAAATCAATATTATCTTAAGGGAATAGGTTGGAAGCCAGGCAGCTTGGTGCCTGTTGCTATATCCATCTTACTTTGAGATATAGGATATTGTTTGAACTTTGTTAGGAAAGAATGCTTCAACTTTATTAAGTCAATAACATAAACTCAGTATTTTTCCAGTGATCAAGTCTACTGTTCATCTGACTTGAGCATATCTTTGTTCTTTTATTTTTTAATTTTAAAACAAAATCATTTTAATTAAAAATTAATAATAAATAAAATAAATATTTTAATTATAAATTAATAAACTATCTCAATTTTAGTCATAATTTGCATTTTCCACTAACACACACTTGTCTGATATTGTGAAAGTATTCCTCGACATTTGATACAATTACTACTTTTGACTTCTGACTTAAAATGCCTGCTATGATTGCCTACTTCCTCCATGGTATAGCTGTTTCTTCTCAAGAATGCTGGATGGTTTATGGTATGTTTGGTTTCAGAAAAGATAGGCTCAAAATTATGTAACTTTTACTCACAGGGTCCAAAGTTTTATTGCTGATGAACTATGAATCAGACAAGTGTTCTATCAGGAGGAGTTTAGGCAACAATATGTTTAGCGAAAAGGATATTTAGGGTGACAAAATATATACATAATACAGTAATGAATTAAAATTACTTTTTTGTTGCATGATCACATAGAATATTGTGATAGTAATCTCATAGTCTCAATTATGAAAAAATATACTTTTAATATATAGTAATGTATTATAAACTGTTATTTTTCACTTTCTTTTTAAAATAAATGTGATATTATTGAATTGTATTGTCTTCCTTCAGTCATACATAAATTATTAATATTTTTGTTTAGAATTTAACAGTACACCAGAGGTTCATGGGGTCTGTGAGCTCACTCAAAAAGTCCCTCGAACTGCACATTGTCAAAGTATAGGAATTATGAGATTCCCTCCCAGAAGTGAATCCATAGAATTCAATATATTTTGAAAAAGGTCCTGCATTAAAAATTAAATTGAGAACCTTGCTTAAAAAAGTTGCAAGCCAAAGTTTGACATCTAAACCCTGAAACAAGGAGAATATTGCAATATAAGTAAATATTGCTATCTCTGAATTATTTAAAATGAAATTAGAAATACAATAAAAAGGAAGAAAATACCAAAAAGGAAATCTAAAAGATACGTAACAAAATTAGGACTGCTATATTAGCACGTGTATTTGACAAAATAGTATTTCAGGAGAAAAGCATACAAGTTATAAAAAGGGAAATTTGAAAATGAACAAACAGTCCAATGTGTGAATAGCGAAATTAGTTCAAAATGTATTGGGTCAAAACCTACAAAATGAATAATAATAAATGTAATCTTATTTCCACATAACAGAATTTGCATATTATTTTAAAGCCATATAGAAAATTTATGTAAATACTGACAGGATATTAGACCACAAAGAAGTAAAACAAATTTCAAAGGATTGATATAAAACATGTTCTCAGAATTTGGCAAAATAAAATGTAAATGATAAAAACAGAAAAATAGCTAATATTACCATATATTTGGAAAATAAAAACATGTCATTTGATAAAGTATCAGTGAAAAGAGAAATCACAATATTACACTGAATGTTATGATATATTTTCAACTAAATTTCCAAAAGTACACCTTAACATTTTAAGGATACAGATAGAGTATCCCTCAGAAAAAAATGTAAAGGCAATTATTAGGAAACAAAATGATTAAAAATAAATTAAAGTTTCAAGCAGAAGCTGCGAAAAAAGCTAAAGCAAATATAGATATCTAGATAAGTAAAAAGAATTGAAAGCAATTTTAGTTAACTGCTTAAAACATAAAAAGGAAACAAGAGAAATGATCAATAGAACCAAAAGTGTGTCTTTTGCAATGATTAATAAATAGCAATCTGGCAAGTATGCTTGCATCAAAGAAAGAACAAGGAAACAATTCTAGGAATGATACTGGGCATATAATTGTGGTAACTATGTTTCTAAAGTCAGTTGGAAAGAAGAGAATGATGGGGATGATTAAATGAGAATTCCACTTCCAGGTATATACCCAAAAGAATTAGAAGCAGGGTCCTGAAAAGATATTTGTACACCCATGCACATCACAACATTATTCACAAGAGCTAAAATGTGGAAGTAACCCAAGTGTTTAGAGATGAACGAATGGATAGGCCAATATAGTATATCCATATAGTAGAATACAATTCAGCCTTAAAAAGGAAGGGCAGGCCAGGCATGGTGGCTCACGCCTATAATCCCAGCATTTGGGAGGCCGAGGCAGGCAGATCACGAGGTCAAGAGATGGAGACCATCCTGGCCAACATGGTGAAACCCCGTCTCTACTAAAAATACAAAAATTTGCTGGGCGTGGTGGTGCACACCTGCAGTCCCAGCTACTCGGGAGGTGATTGGGAGGTGATTGTGCCACTGCACTCCAGTCTGGAGACAGAGCAAGACTCTGCTTCAAAAAAAAAAAAAAAAAAAAAAAGAAATGAAAAAAAGGAAGAATATTATGGCACGTATTAAAACATGGATTAATCTTGAGAACATTGTGATAAGTAAAATAATCCTATCACAATAAGACAAATACTGTATGATTCCATATACACAAAATATCTAGAGTTGTCAAAATTATAAGGTAGAAAGTAGAATAGTGGTTGCTAGCAGATGTGGGGAGGGAAAATGGAGAGTTATTGTTGAATGGGTATAGAATGTTTCAGCTTTGAAAGATGAAAACAGCTCTGGAGATGGAGTGTGTATATGGTTGCACAACAATATGAATGTACTTAATACCATTAAACTATTCAAACTGAACAATTAAAACCGTTAAGATGGTAAATTTTATATGATATGTATTTTACCACATTAAAAAAATGAAAGAAGAAAAGAGATAGCTGAAGAAGTGAGGAAGTGTATCGGGAGTATTGCAGGGACAGGAGGTTAGGTCAGGGGCTGTAATTATAAACAGGAATGCCTCTTGGAGAAGATTACATGATAAAACAAAATCTGATGAAGGGGAGGTTAGCATTTCATAGGTCACAAGAATTTTGACTTTTTCTCTGCACAGGAAGGAATTGGAGGGTTTTGAAGTTACAGTATTCATTTAAGGTTTTAATGGGATCATTCCAAGTACTGACAAGCTAAAAAGAAGGGAGTAGTTAAGTAGGAAGCTAATGCCTTCATCCCATGTGACAGTTGCTAGTGGAGTATATCAGGTTGGTAGTGGTACAGATGGTCTGATAGTTGATTTGTGGAAATATTTGAAAGGTGTTGATCTAAAATTTCTAGGAATTATATAATGTTAAGTAATTAAGGTGTTTCTACTGTAATAATATTTCACATTAAGAAAATATGAAATGTAACTAATTGCTTATAAGTGACAGGAAACTTCTTAATAAGCATATTGACTGTTATGCTCTGACATTGTACATTTATTATGTATAGGAAACCTGAAGTTTCAAAAGTTTAGGAATGTGGCTATATTTTAATATATGTTCAAATATAACCAAACTCAAAAATGTAGAATTGCTGCTATCATGTCATTAGATTCAAATTATCCTATAACCCATGAAGATAGCATAGCATGCTTCTAGCAGTATGAGTTCAAATGATTAATTTGTATATAAAAATACTAAGATGCCTCATTAGGTTTTGTGACTATAATCGCTATCAGTGTAACTTGAGTAAGTATAGACAAAAGGGGGATTTAAGACATTTTAGATAAAAATGCCTCAGGAAAATGTTTACATATAGTATTAGGCACCTATGAAACTATAAATTCAGGTCTGACAAATAAAAAGAATGTTATATTTAAAATAAATAATGCAAAGGACTTTAAATCAGCATTATGTTAAATATTATTGCTAACCACTGATCAAATCAAAGCAGAAAAATATATATAGCTTTCTTGATCCATTTGTTTTTATTTTTTATGTTTAAGAACAAAATAAAGCAAACACATGGTGGGTGGGAGTAGTGGTTATCAATTCTTCTTAAAGCATATTAAATGGTAAATTGTTGCAAAGTTTATATACTAACATAACTTTGATGAAACTTAACACTATAAAATAAGCACAAAAATAATTTCTTGTGGATGATTTGTGTGTATGTAAATATATAGCATTTTTCTAGAAACTTGAAAAAAAATTTTTAGAGGTGAGGATCTCACCATGTTTCCCAGAGTAGGTTTAAACTCCTGGGCTCAAGTAGTCCTCCCACATAGATGGAACTACAGGCACACACCATCATGCCCACTTATTATAGTTTTATCTAGAAATCTTGATATCAACACACATAAAAATATTCTGCTACTTCATTTTCAAGTGTGCTCTTTGTATTTCTTTGTGAAGATTGAAGATCAGTAATGAAATACAGTTGGTACAATTGTGTTACTCTGAAATAAACAACAAGTGAGACTCTAATAAAATTGTCACATATATTATAGGAATGTGTAATTGTGAATTCAGGTCAATACATTCTGTAAAATTGTGCCATATTTTAAAATGTGCTTTACCAGTCAGCTTGGAAAGCTTTTACCTTTCTTATGTTTGTTTTTATAAAGTAATGTATCAAATTATGGGTTTATAATGACATCTGACACAATGGTATAAAGACAGGTGTTTCAAAAAAAGTCAATCTTAAATTCAAAATGCCAAATATTGGGTATACACAAAACCCATGTGTAAGTAATTGAGTTAAAAATTTATGAAAGTGTAACAGCTATGAAGAAATACTTTTTACATGAAATGACCCTTAAAGTTGGTAATATGATAAACAGAATACTCTTAAAGTTCATAATTTTTTGACTAATTAAAATTAAAGGTCATAATTTTTTGACTAATTAAAAACATAGGCCTGGGTAACCTTATATTACCCTGGTTAAAGATAATTATGCAATCAGAAAATGCAAAGAATGACTATTTTTTCCAAAGTTGTATCACAGCTCAGTTGTTTATTGGTGTTCTGTTAATAACTCTAATTCATGTAGTCTATGACCACAGTCATTTTTATTTTTTAAAAGTACACTGAATGCAATTACATGAAAAAAAAATTCTTTGGAGGATATCCTACATCTGGAAAGTCTACATTTTAAAATTATTTCCCCCTGATTTATATAATTTGAGCTACTTTTGTATCAAGGTTTTAGGGAAAAAATACTAAATAATATAACTTTTCTAACATAAAATATTCTTAAAATTAGAAGGGTTTGTTTCCAATTTATTTGTAATTGGTAGCACAATTTGAAACATACAATCATTTTCATTTATTACTATCTAATAGCTTACATGCAATTAATTCCTAAATGACAATTTTTAAATGAGCACACCATTATCTAGCAACTTTTGAAAGGTGGCACTCCATCTAGATAAACTGCTGAGAAGGGGGAAAATAATTCAGAATTTTTTTTTCTGTTTGATCAGTTAATATTTGTTCAGTGAAATATTACTCTCTAGGAAGCACACCTTTCCTTTCTTCATGTAGAGTTAATAGTACTTTATTTTGTCTAGTATATAGCACTTTTTGATATTGAAATGATGTAATGACCGTAAGTGTGCTTTAAAAATATATATCACTATATTGGTAGGGAACTATTTAGATAATAAAAAAAATTCTCACTGAAAACTTAATACCTCTCCCAAAGTTTTGAATTAATTTTTTTTTAATTTTGTGTAAACCTCTTGTGTGATTCTAGCTCGCAAGATAAAGATTCCTAGAGCTGTGAAGGAGGGCATATGTATATTTTTTCACTACTGATTTAGTTTCCAGACTATTTTAGAAACTTAATAAATATTTTTGAATAAATGAATAGTTATTACTTCATCATAAAAATTAGGATGTGGGAAAATTAGCATAGTTTTTCAATTATAAATATAGGGAATATCATTGAGAACTGTTACTAGATTAACCTCATCAATCACATTTTAATAATCTGTACTACTCAAAAGTACTTACATTTTTTTACATCTACCCTTCAGTAAAGTCCAAAGAACAAAATAGCTTCAATTTACAAGTGTTTTTTTCAAAATATCAATAATATAAATTATAAATACTAAAACTTACAGAAGAGAGTTTGATTCACATTTTTTCGTTAAAATAATTTTTCAAATACATATAAGAATTTTTAAATGTATGTTATTTGGAAAGATGATTAGGAAAACTATTTAGTTCAAAAGAAGTGCTATCATAGATTACTCCTTAAACTGAGCTTAAAAATGATTGAGATACTGAATATGATGATAGTAACTGGAATTCTTTTATATGGGTAACATTTTATGAGAAAATAAAATTGAAAGGTAAATTACTGTACCATCTTTCCCTAATATATCTTTTATTCAGAATGCCTAAGGCTTAAACCCTGAAGAAAAAAAATAAAGCATCAAATAGTAGGGAAGAGTTCGGTGTTCTTTTTGCAACTGCATGTTGTGTGAAGAAGAAAATTAATTCAGGATTTCTTGAGCCTTGTGTTTTCCTCTTAAAAATGTTTTAAATGTCCTAATTTGCTTACAGTATTTGTTAATAAATTATTCACTATATACTTTTGTATATTATGTTTATAGGCATTTCTTTTGTAGGCAGTGGTTTGCACTGGCTACAACTAGTAATTAGTTAATAGCATGGTGACTTTCACTGTTCAAGTGTAAGGCAACCTCAAAGAGAGTGGCTGGCCTATGATTTAAGTAATCTATTCCTATCTTAGCTCATTTACCTGATGTCTGATGCTAAGTCAAGTAAAAAAATTGGTTATGCTCTTGTAATGGGTAAACATGGCTGGCATACTTAAGTATCTCATGAACTGAGAATGTTCTTTTTAATCTATGTATCTATCTATCTGTCTTTCCTTCCATCTATCTATCTATAACCTACCATAATAGGTGTCCCTATCATAAGGGACAACATAATCATATCTTCCTCTTCAATAAACCATTATGTCAACTCCCATTCCCTATCTCTGAGTGTCTTTTTAGTTTATTTTTAGAAGTACTTATTTTTAAATACATAAATAATGTTTACTCACAGAGACTCTTATATTTAAATTTGATTAAATATCAAACGTTATTCTACATGTTGCATTCCTTTTAAATAGTATAACTCTAGGATGATTAATTATCCTCATTCTGTCTAAAAATATATGTGAAGGTATAAAATTTAAGTAGTGAGATTAGCTATAATAATATAGCAGAAGAACACTATAGAATTATAAAGTCATTTTATACATTCTGGGTACCACATCTGTAGGATGGGAAAGTAATTGTTTATATTCTTTCTAGAAAAATGTTCAAAAATAATAACAAACTCACTGGACATTGTTCATTTCTGATATTGTTTGTTCCTATTTAGAAGTTATTTAAGTTTCATTCCAACCACCAAATGTCTAATAGTGCATGTTACAAAACCATGAGTAAATTGTTGTAATAATTTTTGTAGAGAAAACTATGATGTCTAATATGTACAGCACCAATTTAATATTAGTTTTTCTACAGGAAAAATCAGTGTCTATTGAACTTCTAAAATTACAGATTAGTGGGTGAGAAATGTATGCATTTATTTTTTCATTAAGGACATTAATATGTAAAAGTAGTGGATTAATCCATTTAAATAAATACATTTTGATAAAAGTAGAAATAATACTTTTATTATACTTTGATCTAAACAATTTGAATACACACAAATAAACATTTTATTGATTCTGAATGGGAATAATGAGATTCCCATTATGGGATTCATGAGATGATATTGGGAGACAGGACCATGTGGTGATTCAAAGTTTCTAGGCGCATACAATGTTTTCCTTTAGCTTCATTATTTTATTCCTAGCTGTGAGATCTTGAGTTCTAAGGTTTGGTTTTCTCATATATAAAAATGAAAATGCAATCAGCTCAAATGGAGTAGTAGTAAGATTCAAATTAAACAATCCAATAATAGCTTTGTGTCAGTGCCTAGCATAGAGACCTCAAAAAACTATCAACTATGGTGATTATATAAATAAGAATAATTAGAATTACTGTGGGTATGCAATCCATTTCCTTAAATACTATACATAAGCATGTATACTGAATGAGAGGTATACATATAATTAGCATACCGTCTCTTCTAGCTCCATATTCAAATATCTCAGGTTAATCTAAAAAAATACAGAGGTATTTTATATTCCACATATATTTAAGTTCCTACATATATTTTATATATCCTATAAAATATATCCTATGTATACTAATATCCTACATATATTTTATATCTCTATAAAATATATATATATTTTATATCCTACATATTTTTTTTAACAAAACTTACAGAAGAACCAAATGAATCCCAATTTTTTTAGGATTGGATATAAAACATCTCTTAATAAACATGCTTATTTTTAATTTGATGCACTCTCATTTAGCAAATGTTACTTTACAATGATTTTATGCTTAGTGTTGGTCATTTGAATAATATATATGCATACATATAGGGAGAGAGAAAGAGAGCAAGTGCACAGCTGCATACACATTTACTACCAGTCTGAATACATCTTTTTGTTATTCACTAAAAAAGAATTAAAGTAAATTTTAAAAGTTTGGGGAATCAAAGTTAACATTACACAAGCATGTTTGTTTCCTGTCCTTTATGATTTTATAATAATTATAATATTATAATATTTAGGCTTTTTATCATTTTTTATGGTAATTGATCTTCTAAGATGGCTAATTGTTTAGGCCTGGGCTCTTCACAATTCTGATAATGTATATTTAGGAAAGTTCTTAAGGTTCTGTTCATTGCTAGTCCATGTGAACTTAAGGAGAAAATGTAGAGTGGCTCATGCACCACAGAGGAAAAATGGTCATATCTGCAAGAAGGTAAACCTGCACAAGGTGTTGCAACTCAAGCAGAGTGAAGACGGTGATTCCCTGCAGGGGAAGTCTGACCTGAGATGTCAGCATATAAGCAAGACGTGGAAGACTTACACCAGAAACATGGTCCAGAACACAGTGTCAGAACCCAAATGACTTAATAAAGACCCTCTTAAAAGAGGAGAGTCCAGCTTGTGGTTTTGGAAACAAACAGAATTAAAAGTATCTATTTAAATTACAAGATTCCCTTGTTCTTGAGACTATATCTCTGCAAGGCACCCAGTCAGTTTCAGTATACTGTATTCCAAAGTTGTTAACGTTATTTCTTCATGGAGAAAAGTCACCAATTCGATATTAGTCTATGGTTTGATTTTCTATTATTTAATTTTAGCATATATTTATTTCAGGCTCTATAATTATTTTATTTTTATTGTACTAATATTTACTGGGTTCAAAGTTTTAACACTATGTGGAAATTTATACTTAGTGAAATCTTTCTGCCGTCTCATCACATTTTCACCTCTCTGAATTTCATTTCTCTGACAGATACAAAAATAGTTGTCAAATTTTGGTTTATTTTTCTTGTATCTTTGTGTAAGAACCAAGCCATCACTTCAAAGCTCTTTACATGCTGGAGCTGAAACAGGAAGTTGTAATTTGCTTTTAGCCAACAGAATGTGGCACAGTGATTGATAGAACGTTACTTCCATGATAACATGATATACAATTTTACCTTCTATCTTACTAATTAACTCCGTCTCTGCTGTGGCCACTCCCTTTGCTTGCACACTTTGATGAAGCTAGGGGCTATATTCGAGGGGTCCAAATGACAAAGAACTCAGGCCTTCAGCCAACAGCTGGCAGGAAACCAAGTCTCTCAATCCTACCAGCTGCCAGGAATTAAATCCTGCCAACAACCATGTTAGTTTGGAAGGGGTAAGAGTCTCTCAAGTCTAATTTCGCATAAAAACCCAGTACTGTTCTATCTCCTCATGATAGCCTTGTGATAGACCCTGAAGCAGAGGATACAGTTAAGCCATAACTGGATTTCTGATGCAGAGAAGCTATGAGAGAATCATGTGTGCTGGTTTTTAGCTGCTGAGTTTGTTCTACTATATTATGCAGCAATAGATCACTTACATAAATATCATTTGGTAGAATGTTCACTACTTATAAAGGTGTGTCACTTCTTTTCCAGATTTTAAGGAGTCCTCAGAGCTTAAAGATCAGCAGAAATCCAAATATATTCAAGAGAAAACTAATTTGGGGGTTTCTCCTATCAGCTATTAGTACAAATCATGTCTAAGAGATAAAACTAAGAGTTTTATTCTCTTGTGCTGAGGTGATGGCAGGAAAGAGCATAATTGCATCACACTCTGGGATCGACATCCATTTATGATCACCTTATTTATCTGATATGATATCTCACTATTTCCAGTAATTAGCTGTTTAAATCACACTGTCTTCTGTCTCCTCTTACCCCATGAGTGTGCTTTTATAGCTCAGCAAAGATGTTATCATCTACAGAACAGTTTATAATAGCAACCTTCGTAATACTTTTACTTTGCCCCACCTCAGACAGATGTCATGGGATTTGACTTGTAAAAAATCATGGGACATGCAAATGTACGAAAGACAATTATTAGAAAATCGATTGAGACCATAGTAATAGATTAAATTTTTCTATATTTTAAAATTTTAATAACACAAAAAGCTAAAGACTTAAGAATTATTTGAAAAAATCAACATCAACTACTGATTAAAAAATAAATCCTCAAATAAGTCTCCCTCTCCCTCTGCCTCTCTCTTTTCCTTCTTGTTTCCCTTCATTCGTCTTGTCCATCTTTTTCCTTTGGACTTTCCATTACTCTCACTTGCTCTCTTGTTCTCTAGCTCTCATTCCTCCATCTTTCCACGGATAAACCTAAACTGAAATCTAAACATTGAAAAAACAGAAGCATAAATCAGTATTAAATCAAATTTAAACAAGCAGGTTCAAAATCACTAACATTATTTAACATATTTTTCTGGAGTTAGTAAATTCAATCATTCAACAGAAAGAAATCAATTAAAAATTATAGAAATGATACAAATTTATCATCATTTTATATAATGCGATTTAGTAGTTGGAAAATCAATACTAAAATCAAATGAAAAAATTAATGCATGCAATAACAATGTGTGTATGACTAGTTATAGGAATTTATATATAAATAACAATAGCTTTTCTCTGTATTAACAATAATCATCTCCAGCATTTTACAAAAGAAAACAATCTTAGTTATAATAGCAGTAAAAATGATAAAATTAATTACACACACAAGAAAGTCCTCCAAGAAATAATAAGAACTTTAGCAGAAAAGCCTTACAATTCTATTTGTTTAAACAAATTAAAAGGATTTAAGTATGTTAAAGAATGTGAAATGATTCCCTACAGGAAAAAGTCAATACTGTAAATATGTCAATTCTCATACTGATCAATTTACTTACAAACTTTTTAGAATATGGAAAATCATATTAAGTAGCTCATATAAAAGAAAGTACAGAAAAAGATAATAAGATAAAAAAGTGATAATTTTGGTTACTGGCACTGAAATAGGAATTGTTTAAGGAAATAGGATGATGCATACAGCAATTCAAATAGATGTAAAAATCTAGTCTACTATAGAAGTGGCAATATGAGGAAAAAATAAAAAATTAAATCAGTCACATTTTGACAAATTACTATTTGAAAACTAAAGGTTTGGAAATCTTCCTCATTCTAAACATAAAAATTAATTCTAAATTTATCCAGTAGTTCATTAATTTTAAAGAAGTAAAATTAAATATTCAGGTGCAGTGGCACTTACCTGTAGTCCCAGTTACTTGGGACGCTGAGGCAGGAGAAGCTCTTGAGCCCAGGATGTAGAGGTTGTAGCGTGCTATGATCATTTGTCAGAATCACCATTACACTCCAGCCTAGGCAACAAAGTGAGACCCCCATATCTAAAAACAAACAACAACAACCAAAAAAAAACCCACCAAAAACAAAATTACTAAAAATGTAAAATTAACAAAAAGCATTGGAATTATTTTTGTGATTTTAATTTTAGAGTGGAGAATTTTATTAAACAGACAATTCACAAAAGAAACATCAGAAAATAGTTAAAAAAGACCCTCAGCTTAGTTACTCACAAGAAATTATAAGTTAAACAACTAAATATCATGTTGGTTAATCTTTGCAAATACCTCAAAAAAAATGGATGGCATGTACAATTGGGTTTGACTATAGATAGGCAGCCACCTTTAAACACTGCATATATAAACTTAAGGGACTTCAATTTAATATTTACCAAATTTTAAAAATTCTGTCTTTTGACTTATTTCCACTCAAAAAAACTATCCTAAAGTAATATTCACACACACACACACATACACACACACACAGACATATAAAATCCTGGTCTTTAGAAACAATCTAAATACTTATAAGTTGAGAGCTGTCAAGAAAGGGGTCACTGATGAGATGTTATTTAAGTAGAGTGTTATTAGAAGTGAAGGAATAGAGCACACAGGTAACTGCAAAGAGAATTACAAGTTCAAAGGCTGTGAAGCAGAAGTATGCTTGATAAGTTCGGAAAACATCTTGGAGTACAATATGGTTGGATCATACTCACCAGGGAAGAGATTATTAAGAAGAGGGGGGTGGTAGAGGGATTCTACATCATAAGAATCTTTTAAAGACTACTTTACTTTTTACTCTGAGAGAAAATACTAATGACCTAAGTGTTTTGATTAATAATGTTAAGATATACCATTAAATACTCTTTCATGTCACACAAAATTATGTTTTTGACTTTATTTTATGGGTTTAGATATCTGGAGAAAAAAATTTAAATAATTTTAAACAAATGGTTTAGGTTAGCATTATATTATTTTTGGTTATATACTTTTAAATTATATACTTTTAAATTGCTAACAAAGATTGTATATAAGCATTAGTCTGTGAAGACAGGATATATACAGGAAAAATTAATTTAATTACTTTAAATTTTAACACAATTACCTACTACTCAACTTATCCATTTCACTCTATAATCAAAACTTAATAAGTTAATGCAAAATTGTGACTGATACAGTGTTTTGGTGCCCTAATAAATAAGCACAATGTATGCTGGGCAACTGGTCAACTGTATCCCCCATAATCTGGCTGTGGATATACAGTAGATGCTCAATAAATGTTGATGAGCTATAATTTATGGAGTAATGTTAAGATACGTATGAGGAAAATAAAGTACTTCTCAGACAGGCGTACTTGGGCACAGTGATTTATCAATTTCAGTTATAAAGAGCCAATGTTGTTTGGATATGTTTTCCTTATCACTATTCACAGAGAAGAAACAGAAAACCAAGGAAAGACAAACCACTGAAATTTAAGTTCTTGATCAGATGATGATTTCCATGAGCAAGAAACATTATCCTACATAAAAAAACTCTCTTATGAAGTATTGGTATTTTTCATTGAAGACAAAACATTTCATCCAATAAGTGAAATCTTGAGATAACTGGGAGATTTAATAAACTGGTATAAATTAATGTCAATTAAGCAATAATTAAAGTCAGAGGATGGTTTTCTTGTTTTATTTATTAGAGATGAGTTCTCACTCTGTCATTCAGGCTGGAGTGCAGTAGCGTGATCATAGCTTATAGCAGCCTTGAACTCCTGGGTTCAAGGAACCTTCCTTATTCAATGTCCCAAGTAACTGGGATTTTTTGTTTGTTTGTTTTATCTCTGTAACAGCGTATAAGCTAAAAGGCAGTGTGTTACTGTGATGAACTGGAACATTTCTCTTGATAACTCTGTCACAGACAAGCCTTTTTTGTGATTACAACACTTTTTGTTTTATTTTTGGGATTTTACCGTATTATTTTTACTATGTTATCACACTGTGTGATAAATAAAATGTAATTGATTCATAAAATCAATATAATCAATGCATATTAACTATCAACATTTCTAAATCATGAGAATATAGCAAATAATTTTGAAATTGTTACGGTACATAGAGCAACCTAGAAGACTATGTAACTGGAAATATTTCTTTGCACTTAAACTCTATATGATCCTCTTAATGATGTTTATTGTTAATTTAAGAAACTTATAAAGTTCTTCTGATCCATGAACATAGAATATATTTCCATTTATTTGTATCTTCTTTGATTTCTTTTTCTTTCCTTTTATTCCTTTCTTTTTTTTTTTTTTTTTTAGACGAAGTTTTGCTCTTGTTGCCCAGGCTGGAGTGCAATGGCGTGATCTTGGCTCACTGCAACCTCTGCCTCCCGGTTTCAACTGATTCTCTTACCTCAGCCTCCCGAGTAGCTGGGATTACAGGCACCCACCAAAACGCCCAGCTTCTTTTTGTATTTTTAGTAGAGATAGGGTTTCACCATGTTGACCAGGCTCGTCTCAAACTGCTGACCTCAGGTGATCCACCCACCTCAGCCTCCCAAAGTGCTGGGATTACAGGTGTGAACCACCGCTCCTGGCCCAATATTTTTAAATAGTTTTAAGCACACAGACTTTTCACCTCCTTGGTTAAATTTATTCCTAAGTATTTTATTTTACTTTTTGGTGCTGTCATAAATGGGACTGTTATCTTGATTTCTCTTTTGGCTAAGTTGTTATTTGTGTATAAAAATGGCATGGGTTTGTTGTATGTTGGTTTTATATTCTGCAGCTTTGCCAAATTTATCTAGTAGGTCTAACAGTTTTTGTAAAGTCTTCGGGAACTTACTACATAAATTTGGCTCATATCATCTGCAAGTAGAGATTAATTTACTTTTTCTTTTCAGATTTGGATACCTTTTCTTTTTCTTTGTCTAAATGCCCTTGTTGGTACTCCCAGTACTGTTGTGAACAGAAGTGATGAGAGTGGTCATCTTTGCCTTGTGACATTTTTTAAATTATCATTATGAAAAAATTTTACCTATATCTTTAAAAATATTTTTGGTTATTATACAATGTTTTGAGCAGGATCTAAAACAGCTGTATGTTTAAACCTTTTCCTGCTGATAAATCAACAAAATGAAGAATTTTATTGTCACATTTGTTAATACTGCTTCATTTAATTTGATTTATTATTACTTTCTTTAAAGAGTTTATGTGTGTCTCAGTATTATTAACATCATGTTTGCTAATTGTTCTAGATTTCTTAGCCATTGCTATTTCATTTTGTTTAGTTCCAAATGATTCCTGTTGCAAATGGCCAAAAATATGGCCAATTACCAAATAACTCAAAAATCCTCATTTTAATGGCTACATAGTAACTACATTGTGACACCTCTACTAATATGTTAGATCTAGGTTTAATTTGGTGCATAATTTGATGTATGTTTCATGGAGCACACCTCTAACCGCATCTACTTTGGTGAGATAATCTTCTAATCACATCGATAATTTTAAAAACATAATATTCAAAATAAGAAAGTTATTGAAGTGAAATATCTGGTAAAAATATTCAGCTTATAATAACTAATGATTATTGTTGGACTGGTCAGATAACTTTGAAGTTTACAAGATCATAAGATAGCACAGAGTAAGTCCAAATGTGTTATTGTCTGAGGATGTATTTTTTAAAATCTGTGAACTCCACACAAATGGTAATCATGTATTTGACATATGGGTGTATGCAAGGACTATGACAACATATTCATTCCTATCTGAGCTTTTAATGATAAAAAATGATGTAAAAAGGAAAAGAGAAATGTGAATTCAGCAAAGCCAAATGATTTCTGAAACTCACTTGATACATGCACATGTAATCAGAAAATAAACATTAATCTAACAGGTATATATTTGCATAGAAACATGTATTTCTTAATTAAAATATAAAATTCATATCTTTATAGTGTTTTGAGACTACTCCCATTTTCTAAATAACATTTTTCTTATTTAGTGAAATACAACTTTATTATAGTAGCATGTTTGGCTCTTTAAATATGAATAACATTTGACTACAATCAAATGAAAACTTGTTTTACCTATTTTTATTATTTAAAGTATATAAAACTTGTTTTATCTACTTTTATCTACTAGAGCCCATTGTGTAGAGTAGATCTTGTGGGAAAATATGTTACTTAGTATTTTGGACTCTGGGTTTTTGTTTTATTTTCCTAACCTTTTATTGAGATCTTAAGAGGCATGCATAAAAATATACAAATTAAATATCTATTTTTTAAGAATTTTCCTCCAAAGTAAACACACCTATGTAATCAGAACACAGAAAACAAACAAACAAACAAACAAAAACTTCACAAGAATCGAGAGCCTCTCCAAAACACCCTTTCAGGTATTTCTCCCACCAGTGGTAACCACCATTTTGACTCTTAGCAGTATTGATGAACTTTTCTTATTTAGAAACTTTCTAGAAATGTAATCATATAGTATGTATTTTTTGCGTGTCTGATTCTCTAAGTATTGTTTATGATAATCATCCATGTTGCTATGTGCTGTAGTTGTCTATCATCATTATTATATGATATGGCATTATATAAATATGCCACAACACATTTATCGATTCTAGTCTTCATGGACATTTGGAATAGTTTCTAGTGGTGCTTTAAATACATGAATACTAAAGGAGTCTCATATTTACATCTGCAACTAAGTACTTGTCTATGGCAGTGAGGGTGTCAGACAAATTTCTGTAGGACCTATACTTGCTAAAGCCCACTAAACAAAGACCATTAGCAACATACCTGCAGTTGAACAAAGTTGGATATATTGGTTTTTTGTAGCAGTGGAGAATGAAAACCAGGAGATCCATGAGGTAGAGCATGGAGGAGTCAGTGAAAGATACTTACAGAATATGGAGGACTTACCTTGGTTACAAGATTTGTCAGAATATGTCAACCAAACAAGTTACTCAAAGAAGCAGTTTTCTTATTTTCAAAAATATACTTCTGTATAGAGTTAATGTTAGTTCACTGTATTAATGGTGTCTTCTTGATATATGTAAATCTAAATACACTGTTGTTGAGTTTGAACTTAGTTTGTGTCTTAGATATTGATTTAGTATAATGCTTTCTTATTTTGTAAGTAACAGTAGCATTTGGAAAATTGTGGTTTCTGTTTCAGTTTTTAGTTTTCTGCTCACAGCCTTGCTTCTAGTAGGTTTTTTTTGTTTTGTTTTTTGACAGTCTTGCTCCATCTCCCAGGTTGGAGTGCGGTGCCGCTGTCTTGGTCCAAGCGATTCTCCTGCCTCAGTCTCCTGGGTATCTGGGATTACAGGCACGCATCACCATGCCCGGCTAGTTTTTTGTATTTTTAGTAGAGGCAAGGTTTCGCCATGTTTCCCAGGCTAGTCTCAAACTCCTGAGCTCAGGAAATCCACCCGCCTCGGCCTCCCAGAGTGCCAGGATTACAGGCGTGAGCCACTGCGCCCGGCAGGTCAGTTTTTAACTTTGCTGATTTTTATATGCCTTGGGAAGAAAATTGAAGCAGAGGTCAGTAGGCCGTAACTACTCAGTAATTTCCTGCTGCTGTAACTATTTTATTTTAATTTAATTTTTTTATTAAATCAAATACTTCTATAGACATTACTCCCAATACACTTAATTATAATTTGTAACGATAAATCTGTAGATCCTATTCAGAGAAAATAGAAATAAAAACAGGTGAAACATTACCATTTTAAACTTTTTCAAATCATGTTTCAGTTCAAAAGTTTGGAAATAATTATTTCTGGGCCAACTAGTTTACCAAAAGAGTAATTACTACCACCTACAAGAGTATAGACTCCAAATGAAGTGATTGTAGAACAATTATATATAGTGCTTCTTTGGAACACCCTCTACTGCTTCTCCATAGAAATTCTGTTGGCTAATAGTACAGAGAAAGATATTTACCAAAAAAAAAACACTATTATATCTAATACAAGGTACTAAACAACGTGATGGTCTTCACCAACAATTGTACTTGGTGAAGATCTTTCCTTTCTGTATTAACCATAGACGTAGGGACAAATCTTTATTCTAATCAATATGGGAAAACTAGTATTTTCAGGCAGTCAAGGTGAAGAAATGTCCTGCTAATACAGCTCTAAAAATATAACAATGCTTCCAATTGTAGATATTAAATAGGAAAAACTGGTAAATAAGAGGATGTGATTAGTTATCAAGAGTTCAAACAAGTAGTGGCTAATATCCTCATTGGTTTCCAGAAGAATTTAATTATGTCCTACCTGAATGTTTCACAGTCTACAGTTGTGTTTCCACAATTCTCACAAGTGCTTGAGCCGAAAACCTTCAACAATGTTTTAACAACAATTACCACATCCTGTAATTAGTTCATATGAGGCAGTGGGCTTATTAGCAAAAAAAGGTGACAATTCAATTCTGAAGGGGTCTACCTGTCTAAGGGCTTAGCAGGCACTGAAGCCCCTGTGCAAATTAGAAACCTACAAATCAAAACCACAATGAGATATCAATGCACACACTTGGATTACTAATATAAACTTAAAAAGGTAAATGTTGGTGAGGATATGAAGAAGTAGAAACCCTGTACAGTTGTACACTGTTGCTAGAAATAAATTGTGTAGCCATCATAAAAAACAATGTGGTAGTTTCTCAAAAAACTAAAAATAAAATTGCCATAAATTCCACTTTTGGATCTATATCCAAAAGAAGTAGAAACAGATCTTGAAAAGATATCTGGACTCCCAAGGTCATTGCAGAATTATACATAATAGCCAATATACGGAAGCAACCTAAATGTCCATTGGCAAATGAATGGATAAAAAATGTGGTATACATACCATAGAATATTATTCAGCCTTTCAAAAAAAAAAGGAAATTCTTCCATTTATGAAAAGATGGATGAACCTGAAGGACAGTATCTTAAGTGAAATGAACCAGTAACCGAAGGAAAAATACTGCATGATTCACCTGTATGAGCTATCTAAAACAGTCAATCTCACAGAAGTGGAGATTAGAATGGTAGTTCCCAGGGGCTTAGGGAAGGGGAAAATAGATAGTTGCTATTTAGTATGTATAAAGTTTCAATTACATAAGATGAATAAGTTCTGCAGCTCTCCTGTGCAACATTGTGCTTTAGCTAATAATACTGTATTGTGCATTTAAAAAATAAGAGGTCTTAAGTGTCATTTTCACAACAAAAATAAACGGAGAAAAAAGTAAAGGCCTTCATTTCTCAAAGTATTCTTGCCTTTCACTAGCACTCATGGTTTGGAGAATGGAGAACTTTTCCCTCCACTGCTGGCCATTCATTGTACAAATGTCAAACTTCACAATCTAGGCAACAATACAGCATCCACTCTTGCAGCCAATCCTGTTGGTTTTGTCTTCAAAATCTATTAAAATTATGACTACTCCTTATCTTCTCCATTGCAATCATCATGTGTCAAGCAACTGACATCATCTTTCACCTAGATTTACACTATTCCTCACCACTTGTCTTCCTGCTCTTGCTGTTGTACTCTTACCTGTTCTTCACACAGCAATTTATTATCTCAGTTCTTTTTAAGACCCTCCATTATCTTTCTATATTCCTTAGAATGAAATGCAAACACTTATAGTAATCGAAAAGGGTTTAATTGAATCTCTTTAATAATCTTCAAAAATATCAACTATAATTTGATTCAGACTTGAATACTTAATATCATCACAGTTTTTAAATGGTAAACTGAGTTTCGAAAGTGTTGAGCTACTTGCCTAGGAGCACACTGTTTAAGGCAGAGTAGAAAGTCAACTCTGTCACTCTGAATTAACATGCTCATGAGGATTATAAAGAACCTTCTAGTAAACTAGTCAACATGTTCTATCCTGATTAGTCCTTACATGTTATTTGACATGGTAGATGCTGCCTTTCTTCTTGAAACACATCCATCTCATCAGCATATAATTAGGAGCTGAAAATGAAAGATCCTAAAACTGCTTAATTTTCCAAATACTCTCTTACTTTCTCTGGCATTCTAATTATGAACACTATCTAATATTTTATGGATAATAGATTCACACTCTCTTTTGAATTTAAAATATCCTAATGTGTTTTCTGGTCCAATTTCCAAATTATATAAATACAGATGAAACTGGAACATACTTTTCCCTAGATCTCCACATTTCCTCTCCTTTCCTTAGTGGATGGAGGTGTTTCAACCCAGCCAATGCTGGTGCTCCCCTTAGGAAGCCCTTTCCTAGTGAGACTCTCCACTTCTGGATGTAGGAATGGAAGGTTATAGGATCAAAGGGCCCTTCCCCTTTACGTGTTTAGAAGAGGAAAGAAGATCTTAAGTCTTCAGAAACCTGCACTGTCCTGCACTGTCTTTAATGTTCCTTGTGTCTTACAATCAAATAATGATTCACAAATGGACGGTTCTGACTTCTCATTCAAGTACAAATATATATCTTCAATTGCACATTTAGTCTTGGATTACTAGCATATATTCTATTTCAATATGTGAATGCAGCTTCATAGTTCTCATTAGTCATTTATAGAAATTTCCCTTCCTAGTTTTCATTTGCCTTTTAATAGGAAAAAAAAATACTTTCCTGAAGGTACACACTAGACACCTCAGAGGATTTTTTTAAATCTCTTTAATTTTTACCCATCCACCATTCAATAACTTCTTTTCAGATAAGATTTATACTTTTATTTAACTTTTATTTACTCACTAATGCTTTTCTTGAAATGCAATGTACTAGTACTCTTTTTTTTCAATAATATTTACAGGTAATAATAAAAGATAGATAATTTAAAAAATGCTATTTAAGACATGCAAAGTAGATTTGATAGAAATAAAAATATTTAACCCATCCAAAAAAAGACAAGCAGAAGGTAATTGATCTCAAATAATAGCTATCATGATTCGCAGATTTCTTGCCCATCTGTTTCAAAGCCTTAGGGAAGACAGAGGAAAACCGGATAACCAGGAGAATTGGAAAGAATAGATTCAGGTAAGTGAGTTGACTCCCATGATACCTGACCTAGGATAAAGGTCATATCCCCCTTTTTGGGTATATAGAGTGGTAATGCCATATATAGCTAATGATATTCAGGTTGGATATTATTGATAAATTAATTACCCTGCTGCTTTTTATAGGATCTAGGAGAAAGAAAAAAACAGTTTGCAGAAGCTATATGCATTCTAAACAGAAGATATAAGTCTAAATCAGGGCAAGCAACAACCTACATTATTCTAGTTACAACTGAATTTTCAGCTTAGCATGCCTCAAAAACAACTTTCAAGTATATATGTATCAACTGTCAATTTTTCTCATTAGTTTCTCTCAAGTCAGTGTATAATCTGTCATATTACACGTTTAACTTTATTTTATGTTTTTAAAATGTAGCTTATTCTATTGTCAGCCTTCTTACACTGCCTGCTATTCTTCCTTTAAACAGGAATATCCTTTGTAATATAATGTTTATAATCTAAACCACTAATTTTACCTGTTAATTATACAATATATTACATTGTTAGTTGATTATTTCATATACACTTATGCTTTTTACTATAATAAGAGGACTGGTGATAGAAAATATCTCTTATTCTTATTTTATAACTCTTCATCTTAAAATTAAAGTGAATTAAAAGATAAGTTATTTTAATTGTTTGGTAGTTTTTCAAATTCCACAGTCCATTTCAGCATACAAAAGAAATATCTGAGTACTCATTTTTCTAACCTTCTGTGCACTTGAGTGCACAATTAATGTGTATTCTAAGAAGAAAACTTAAAAGTATTACAGATGCATCTTCTCTCAAGTAGACCTGTAACACTAAGAAAGTGATTTAATATTCTTTTTTCTTTTTCTTTTTCTTAATCGGAGTCTCGCTCTGTCGCCCAGGCTGGAGTGCAGTGGCGCAATCTCGGCTCACTGCCAGCTCCGCTTCCCGGGATCACGCCATTCTCCCTCCTCAGCCTCCCGAGTAGCTAGGACTACAGGCGCCCGCCACCACGCTAGCTAATTTTTTTGTACTTTTAGTAGAGACTGGGTTTCACCGTGTTAGCCACGATGGTCTCGATCTCCTGACATCGTGATCCACCCTCCTCGGCCTCCCAAAGTGCTGGGATTACAGGCTTGAGCCACCGCGCCCGGCCGGTATTCTTAACACATGACAGTTTTAGAATTCAATGACTCATTTTTATGTAGCTAGATACTATTTTAAAGCATAGTCCTGAAAGCAGAATAAATTAGGTGGTGATTTTATTCATATGTAAAACGAGCATCAGATTTCACAAGAAATAAAAAACTGTTTTCTTTTCTCTTTAGTTATATACCATTCATAATTTTTTAATTGTGTAATTTGAGCTTCTATAAATATGTATTTGATAGCTTATTTTACATAAAAACATTTTTGGATCATTGAAGGTATAGCCACTTTGCTTGGATAAATATCCTGGCTATTTTTCAGGAAAAAATAAATCTAATAAAATGTATAAACATGACTATTTCATTAGATGCTTAGTGTGCAGCTGTAGTAAAATTGTTGCATAAGAGTGCATGCATTGTTCATTTTCATAAATCATCAACCTAGTTAAATCAATGTTTGCCAACTATAAAAGGTGACTTTTATGCACTGTTAGGTGAAGGGATTATAAAAATTTAGCACTAAATTAAGTTGAGCTATGTACTTCACAGGTGAAGATCCAACTATTATCCTCTTATTTAAAGAAAGCAACATTTTAATATTAATTTATGTTCAATTTTATAATACTAAATATTATAGTAAAGTGTCACAACATTGTAAAAGCAGAAAATTTTATTAACCATTATGAAAATAAAAGCTCTAGAAAAAAGAGATTTAGATATATAGAGAGTGAGAGGCAGAGAAACAAGGAACAATGATTGAAAGAATTCATGCAGAAGTCAGTCTGCCTTTTCTGGACATATAATTGAGACTTAAAACATCCAAGTTTGATGTAGCTACCAGTAGTCAGTTTCTATAAAAGCATTCAGGAGCTACCAACTCTACGTATTTACTTTTATTCTACTATTAAACTCTGACTATGTTGAGGACGCAGTCAAATTGGAGTCTTGTGGAGCAATCATCACTACAATTAGATGTTTCATGTTGCATCTTATTTCAAATCAAATCAAATATTTTCCGAAGGATTCATAAAGTTGGTCTATTTTATATGTCTGTGGAAAATAGCTAAGTACAAACTATAATTTAAATGACAACATTAGTACAAGATACTGTTATTTGAATGTGTTTTACCTGATACATATATACATATATTTCATTACAAATACGTAACGTCGAATGCTTTTCATGTTGGCCAACTGTTTAATGGATGATCTGCATCCTTTGGATAATGAAAGGATAGAAGCTTTAACTTGTCATGCTGTAAATTTTGTTCCCTGCATAATTAATTCAGATATGGATATTAAGTATATTTCAGTAGCCAGGCATTGAATATAAGCACAGATGGAATTTCTTCTTCTAATAGAGAACACACTTCAGTTAATACTCAATTTGACATTGTGTACACCTGAGGACCTTCAATAGACAACTAATTTAGAAAGCTGATTTTCTGAAGACAAACTAGAGAGTAAATTATTAAAGCAATTATCTGTAAATGAGAAGAGAGAAATCTTAAATCCCTTTTATCTAAATCTCAAGTGGTTAATACATGACTCTGCATGAATCAAAAAAGATTCTTTGGATTTCCAAGCTGACTTCATCTGGAAAACTGAATTTGCCCTTCAAACATATGTTTTGGAATACAGAGAACAACAACAAAACCCAAAATATCTTTTGCACTTTTTACATTTAGTGAATATTATTGCTTTGATAGTAAAAGTACATAAAAGTACATAGAAAAATAACAGTTTGAAAAATGACGCAAAGCAAGTTAGAATACAAAGGTATTATGAATTTTGCACCTGTTCTAATTTGCTCTATAACATACAACTGATAACTTTTAATTGATTTAATACTGACTTTCTTTTGAATACGGTCCAGATTTGATTTTTAAAGCTTTAATGAAAATTGTTAAATGACTGTAATTATGTTTCAGATTACCTGGTTAGCTCATGGCTTTTATAAGCCTAAATATGACCTGAAGTCTCAAAGAAATTACATAATTTCCCCTAAAGTATAATTTTTTGACACCAATACATGTATTTGTAGTAAGTATTTTTGTGTGCATTTCTAAGAGAGACAAGATTAATACATGTGGATTTTCTTGCCACATGAGGGTGAAATGGGGAAAGATTTAGAGAGGAGTTGAAGTTGGGGAAGAAGGGATGAAAATGATTTAAGAAGGGCTTTATCTTTTAACGTGCAAGGGTTTTCAAGATTTTATTGAGTGTTGGATAAGCAATCATTGTTGATGGACTTTTAAAAATAAGAGCACTAAGGTGAGATTAAAGTAAAAGTAGTTCCTCCTAGATTGACACTAAATGGTGCCCCTGGCAACATAGCCAACAACTTGTAGAACAACATACAAAAGAGAAATTGTTGCCATTTTAAATTATTTTACTGGGATTCTCCTAGAGATAACATTTCCATACATATTTCCCATATTTAGAAATAGTAACAATAATATAATAAATTATCTTGGGCTTAATAATATTGATGGGTAACATACACATAATGAAGTACATAAACTATAAGGGTACAACTTAATGAATGTAAGAAAATGACCAGACTCATTAAACAAGACATTACCATCAAACTAGAAACTGCCTTACTTTTTCCCACTTACCATCTCAATTTTCCTCTTGAGAAGTGAACTCAATCCTGACTTGCAAAATCAGATTAGTTTTGCTCACCTCGTAAATTTATGTAATGGAAATGGCTATGGTTTAAACGTTTGTCTTCTCCAAACCTCATGTTGAATCTTAATCCCCTATATGGTAGTATTGACAGGTGAGGCCTTTAAGAGATGAGTGGATAATAAGGGTCCTTGCCCACATAAATGGATTAATTCATTTGTGAATAAATGGATTAACAGGTTACTGTGGAAGTAGAAGTAGTGGCTTTATAAGAAGAGCAAGGGAGACTTAAGCTATAGTATTATGCTCATCCCCTTAGGAATATGATGCCGCACACTGAATAGGGACACTGCAGAGGGTCTCTGCCAGTAAGAAGGCCCTGGCCAGATGCAGCCTGTCCACCCTAGACTTCTCTGCTTTTATGCTAGTAAGAAAAATACTCTTTTCTAAAATAAATTACCCAGTTTTAGGTATTCCAGTATAAGCAACAGAAAAGGGATTAATTATGAAAATATGTTTGTTTATGTTAGCTTACTATTCTCTGTATAATTTATCATACATTTTGGAAATTATCCATCATTATTTCTTCAAGTAGTTTCTGTCTCATATCTTTTTCATTTAATCTGGGACCTTGATATCATTGTTCCTTCACTTACTAGATCCTATTTACTGTGTATGCTATTTTTAAAATTGATTTTATTGTTGTTTTGCTAATCCCCAGAATGTATTTTTTCTTGTCATCTATCTTCCAGTCCACTAATTTTCTGTTCAGCTTTTAAAAATCTGCCATAAAACTCACCCATTGAATCTGGATTTTAGTTATTTTATTTTCAGTTTTGGAGTTTCCATGTAACTATTGTTTTATACTCTCTGTTGAAAAATTTACCTTGACATTTATCAAATTGAACACACCAATACAATTCTTTCAAATTTTATTTCTGTTAAACACATATATGAATATATCTTTGGGGTGTTTTTTTCACTTGCTTTAGTGTCAAGTCCTATGTATTCATATATGTTTTATATAAATTACCAGATATTTTGTGTGAAAATATAGTGATAATTTGAGGTTTTGATTAATGTTATTTTATACAAAGATGGTAAAGATTCATTAATTTTAGATTCATAGGCTAGGAACATATGACCTCAATCTAGGAATTGAACTAGTTTTGCATCTTTGTTTAACTCTTCATGAAGTATTGTCTCATTCTAGTATACCTTTATGCTAGTGTGATTTTCTTTATATTTCCCACTTTAAACATTGTTTTATGGCCTCTCCTCTTTGAAAGATACTAAACTTTGGTTTTGTTCATTGCTTGGTAAGACTTCTAAGAGGCCTCTGTAGCTCTGTAGACTTTTACTAACAGGTTTTTTTATTTGGCATACCAACCTTTTAGCTACTTTTCAAAAATTTAATCATGTCACAAGGAGTTAGCAGTGCCAAATATTGGATTTACCTCTCTTGACTTCCTATTTTCCGTTATCTTGGTCATTCGAGTTTTCATTATTTCAAAGTTCTCTCACAATGAAACAGATATTTTTTGCTACTCTTTTCAGATGTTAAATTTGTTCTTATAGGTGGTCTTAGTTCTAAACAATATTTATTAAAAACAGAACTGCCACATTATAATATTTTGATCAGTAAGGAAGTGAGATTGGTGATTTGCATGCTTTATATTGCATTATCTTCCAAAGAACCCTCCTAGTTATGTAATATTCAATATTATTGATTGTCATTTTTACGTTATCTAGGATTTCTTAAATTAGAGCAAATCGTGGTTTTACATAATTGAATGGAACCCTACAGACATGACTACATGCAAATGCATGGCACCGCTTCACTCTGGGTTTCAATTGAATGCAGTTTAGTCAATATTTATCATCAAAATAGACTTTAACAGAAACCAACTAAGAATTGACTTTATAAAGATATCGGTAATATTTTTAAATTTTACTTTCAGTTAAGTAATCACAATGCCAAAACTTACATTTCAAAGAAAGTTTGATATATTTCTAACTAGAAATTATGAAAAGTAATTAGAAGGTACCAATTTTCTTAAGCAGAGCAAGAGAGAAGTAAAAAATTAAGGAGATAACAAAATATTGTCATAAAAAAAGACAGGGTTAGGAGTACCAAACCAATACAAAAATTGGACAGTTACTAAAAACATTTAGTTTTGTATTAAATTATAATGATTCCCAGGTAACACTTTTTAAGCAACAGTACTATAGATATAGACAGTGATGCTTGAAACTAAGGATTAAAGATAGTTATGTATAGAAACTCTCTTTGTTTATAAATTCAGTGTGACTAGGGTTTGTGTGTGTGCATGTGTTTTGCAAAAGGCTATATAAACATTACCAACTGCTTACACGCTCCCATTTGTAGAACTTGTCTTACTATCTGTATCACATAAGACTGTAAAGACTGTATTAAGTCAGAGTTTTCCAGAGAAAAAGGACCAATAGCATGTATACATAAGGAGGGATTTATTTTAAGGGATTGTCTTATGTGATTGTGGAGGATGGCAAGTCTGAAATCTGAAGGACATCTAGCATTCTGTAGACCCAGAGAATAGTTTATGTTGTAACTCAAGTCTAAAAGCAATCTCAAGGCAGAATTCCCTCTTCCTTAGATGACTTCAGTCTTTTCTCTTTAGGCTTTAAATTGATTGGAGGAGGCACATTAATATTATGGAGGGCAATCTGCTTTACTCAAAGTCTCTTGGTTTAAGTGTTAGTCTCAGCTAAAAACAAAACAAAAAACAAAACCTTCATAGCTACTTCTAGACTCGTGTTTGACCAGTGAGAATCATGGCTTAGCCAAATTGACATATACAATTAACCTTCACAATGAGCTAGCATTTACTAATTCAGTACATTACATATACAAAATGTTGAGCTTTTTTTTCTTTATTAAGTAATGGAAGTCATGATAGCAAGTTCAGACTGTCCAATAAAATTATAATGTCTAGTATTCAGAGTAGTTTGAGAAATAGGAATATATTCAAATTTATGATCATGATGTTCCTAGATCTCAGTTGAGTGGAAAAAATAGAAGGGACCTGATATGTCTCTACCACCACAGTAAAGATAACATAGAAACCATTCAAAGTGTATAATTTTCTATTTGATGCTGAAAGGTGACAAACAGGGTTTCAGGAAGATAAACAGGGTTTCAGGAAGATAAACATGCCCAGTCAGATACTGATTATTTTAAGACATTTGCTCCCATGAAGGAAATCTAATTTTTAAAATCGCAATTATTCAGTTTAAAAAGCATATTAACAAATAAAAATGTACAGAATCAAATTTTTTATTCAAATATTCCATACTGAAATTTCCCCTACTCATGAAAATTTATTTGTAATTTTCAAATCAATACTTTCCAGGACATTTGCAGTCATTTGCAAACATGTGAAGAGAGAGAACTATTTGAGTCACCTGACATGCATGTTCCCAGTTGAATTTGAACCGTGATGGCACTGCCTTCTTGTTTCAGCTGTCATACTATAAACAAGTATCGCTACCATTGCCTATTTAATTTCATGTTTTTCAAATTTTTGTCCTTTTGTTGGTAAGGTTTTTGTCGTTTTACTACTGAAAATGATCCCCAAGTATGATAAAGTGCTGTCAATTGTTTCTACACACAATTGGGAGAAATTGGGGAGGTCTTCACTCTATGCTAATTCTTGGTTTCTAAGGTTTTCCATAATAATTTTAAATTTATTTACAACCTGTATTGGTTTGGGTTTTCCAGAGGAAAAAACAAATCAATTGTGTGTGTGTGTGTGTGTGTGTGTGTGTGTGTGTGTGTGTAAGATTTATTAAAAAAAATTGGCTCACGCAAATATAGAGGCTGAGAAATCCCACTGGCTTCTATCTGAAAGCTGGAGACCCAGGAAAGCTGATGGTGCAGCTTTAGTTGGAATCTAAAGGTCTGAGAAACAGGAGAACCAATGGTACAAGCTCTAATCCAACTTGAAGGCCTGAGTGCCAGTTGTTTAAGTCCCAGTCTGAAATCAGGAGAAGACTGATGTCACAGCTGAAGCAGTGAGGCTGAGAAAAATTACTCTTCCTCCCTCTGCCTTTTTGTTCTATTTAGGCCCTCATTGGATTGAAAGATGCCCACCCACATTGGATAGTTTGATCATCACTCAATCTATTGATTCAAATGCTAATCTTTTCTGGAAACATCCTCACAGATACATCCAGAAATAATGTGTAACTAAATATCTGGGTGCCCTGCGACCCCGTCCAGTTGATACACAAAATTAACTATATATACTCCATAGAACAATTCGTGGGTTTGTCCATTCCCCTTTTTAAGTTGGGTTCTCTTTGAAAACAGATTTAGACATACAACATACTATTGGAGAGTTAATGCCTGTGAAAAGGAAAGGGAGAGAGAAGAATCAGACAGGGCTAAGCATATAACTTTGACATAGATAGGACCGTTAATCCACAGGGGAGCTTTGGAGCAAAAATTGCCCATGTGAAGTGTGCCAAGTAGAATGGGAAGGAATAGACCATTATACCATTGCTCTGCTTAGTCACTGGCTGGGAGCCTTCCTGAAAAGAGAGTGTTCTCAGTTATCACCACCTTGTCATTCATTGGCTGGGGGGCACCTTGAGAATAGCATAACCTTGGCTTAAAAGTTGAGAAAATACTAACAAAGAGAAGAAAGCTGCCAACTAACCACACTGTAGGCAATGGAAAAATAAAGATTTCTTGGAGGATGTGAGGGACACATAACATATCTGCCACAACCCATTGCAGGACATTACTTCAAGTTATTATTAGGAGAATCAAAATAAATAAAGTATGTGATGGTATTTATAAACTGTGAGCCACTCTAGAGGTAATATTATTAACAACACCTCTTCTCCTTACCAATTCCTGCCTTCGTGCCTTTTTCTTTATTACGTTTATATTACAGAATTAACTCTATAGTATTTCCAAATCAATGTAAAGCTTAATTTAGTTATGTTGTATTTTTACTTCTGTTCTTTGAGTTTCTATGATTTTGATATAGTAACTTACTCAAACTTTACTTAGTGGACAGGAAAAGTTAATTCAGTTTCTATAAGGTATTTCATTTACTATCAGGAGCTATTTTAGGCCCTGGGAGAATCTGCTTCATCTTTGTTATTTTCATTCTTTTCTAAGTAAACAGAGGCAAGTATTGTTATCACATCTTGGAAACAGGAAAATTGAGCCCTGAAAGGGTATTGGCTTGCCAAGGTCACTTTAACTTAAAAACACTGCTGAATCCATATTTCATGTGTAAAATAAAGATTATTTTTGGAAAAATAATTCAATATAATCATATAGTTGGGTATTTGCAAAAGGTTACAATCTTTAAAAATCAACAGGAGCATAAGCTATTTCACGGCACCTAGGCAATCAATGATAATGAGTATTATGTAGATTTATGTGCAACAATGAGCCAGCCAGGCAAGGTTTTGAATACATGAACGTATATTATAATTTCTTATTTCCATTTTTACCACAAACTCTTTGGTAAAGATAAGAACCTCCTCCCTTATTGTAACTCAGTCCTACTTTAATGGCATAAATTACATTGCTTAGACAAAACTCTAAAAAATATAACTACTAACTGTAATATTGAGAATCAAGCTCCATTAGCCAATTTCATAAAAGAGGAATCTATCTAACATTTTCCAGAAGAAAATTATTTTTATTTCCAAGCAAATTATACTAGTTTGTAAATTATGTTGCATTCATGATTGCCCTATCTTTAGCATAATTTGTAGTATTTATATCTTAAAGTTTATGTTTTATGTAGACATTTAGATAAGCTAAAATAATCACAAACAAATATAGCATTTTTCTGATGTTTCATATTATTTAAACATATCCTTTTGGAAATTATTTTTTCCATTAATTTTTTAAGTATTTCTCGCTATAACATATGTGAAGTTTGAAAAATATTCACATTATTTTTTAATTGATTTATACCTGCTAAGGAGACATATGAAATAATTTCTGGTCTTGAAATACATGTATTTTGTGGAAAATTGTTAACTGTAGAGAATTAAAGCTATTTAATGTTGTGTTTCTATGTAATGGCTATGTGATGTTACTAAAAGCAAAGTATCTCTTTTTATGCCAGCTTTATTGACTTTGCAAATGTAATGCACTGATTTTTACTGCCTCATGTGGAAGCACTTAAAGGGCACACTGGGTCATTTACAATACACTTTACAAGAATATATTATTTTAATGATCAAGCAGTTATCCTCCTTTAACAGTATTCTTTCTTACTTTATTTCAAGATTCTTAAGAATTACATTATTAGAATTAGAATAAAGGGACAGTTTATTATACTTTATTTCAAGATTCTTAAGAATTACATTATTAGAATTAGAATAAAGGGACAGTTTATTATAAGAAAAAAACTGAATATTTTCCCTTCAAGAGGCATTAAGTTAAAAAAAATCAAATATACTAGTAAACAAAGAAACTAATTCAAATTTTTATTTTAATGTAATTGCACATTTTTCCCCTATATCATGTAGGTGTCTTTAATATTTTATAAATCTTTGCAAGTGTAATCTCTAGTGCTCTTTCATGAATTGTGGTGAGTTAATATGATCTAATATAAAATAGAATTTATTAATTTTAGCTTCAATACAAGTGGTTTACTTTAGTTCCAACACTTCCATTGTGACCAAAACACTGAAGTATTAATGTATGGCTTTTTAAAACTTCACTTGTTGAAAGCAGGTAGTTTACAACAATGCTAAATGTTAAATTATGTTTTTTAAACAAGAAAAAAAAAATAGTTGAGGTGATGGATATCTCATTTACCCTAAGATGATTATTATCCATTGTATGCCTGTATCAAAAACAGCTCATGTATCACATAAATATATATATCTACTATGTACCCACACAAATTGAAAATTAAAACTTAAAAAAAACAAATTACAAATGTCCTGTATTTCAAAACTTATATAATATAGATTGTAGTTCAAACTTCTTTAGATAGTGTATTCTGCATGTAGCTAAATGCTGTCTACATGGTCTATGCAAAAATATTTTTAAATTTAATGTATAAGAAGACAACTGCATTAACAAGACATTCAATCAAAAACTTTAGTATAAAATAAACGTTGACCTTAAAACTGAGGAAATCTTAGCATTCTGAATTTGCCCAATTATGTGAATTATGAGTGGAAAGTGTGGTTCACATAAATATGCCTTCTACAGAGCCAGCAAACAAAGCCTAATCATAGTAACAAATAGATTTGCTGACCTTAGTGGCCTAATTAACAGCTGACCCTGTGCCTTATTAAGTGTTGTCAGAAAATTAAGGGCTTTTTTTTCCCTAGATAAGTGAAATTGAGGATGATAAATTTTATTCTTACATAATAAAATGTCTAATTTAGTAACATTGCCTTGAATAGGTATAAATTTATTTAATTTCAAAACAAAACCAATTAAATGGAAACTTTGTAAGCGTGCATTTTCCCTCGTTTCTAATACAGTATCCTTTTTCTCTTATTTAATTAATTTCTTATGGTTTCAAATAAAATCCTTCTTTGCTTTCTTTCCCACTAATCAGAGAGCTTGAAATTCAAATGCATTTTGGAAGTACAACGGACAACTCTGCTGGGGCAAACCTTGTGCTTCAGGCTTATTTTTCTGCTCCTCCCAAGAATTTAATTAACTAATTAGCTTACTCAGGTGTAAGCAACAGATGCGTCACATCTGCCCATAATTTGTGACTAGCCGGGAACACTTTCTTACCCCACTTCAGACTGAAGAACTGCACTTGAATTGGCTATTTTGTGCCCACATGTTTCCCAACCCGTATAGAAGCTAATATATTGATCCTTACATTATTTCCTCCCAAGGAAATCAATGTATTGTGCCTCTTTTGATTATGCTGTATGATCAATTATCGTACCTCTCTTTCTCTTTCTGTCTGGCTTCTTAGCTTCCCCCATGTCTACATAATACTTGCATTTAAAGAACAAGTCATTTTTGTTCTAGAGTAGTTTGGCTTTTATAGCCCAGATATTTTCTCCATAGTTATTAGAATATGTGTTGAATGTTTTCTCCTACCACAAAGAAATACCTATTTATTATTTACACTACTTAGTGTCTTAGCAGCAAGCAACAAAATGACTGGCTGATTTTAATTTAGAAAATATCTTATGAAATTTGATTAGCTTAGAGAATTATCCAGAAGATTGGAGGAAACTTTTGGGAAATAAAAAAACAAAAAGAAGGTCACAACGTTAGAAAAGACAAAATACATCAGAAAATATTGTGAGGAAAATTGAATGCGTATATACACACACACAGAGGTCAATAAAAAGCATGTGGTCTGGGAATAATTTCATTGTAGTTAGAATTTCTTCTCCATAAGACACTTTAACATACACTGCTATGTATATTTCATGTTGCAGTGCTAATATATGCAGTTAATATATAGCTAATATATAGAAATACATAATATAATTCACATTTATACACACATGCTTACATACACACACAAAGATATACATCCATGAAACTAAGATCCAGTAGAAAGCAAAAATAATAATTTTCAGTTGTCTTATTTAAATGAATAGGAATATACTGTTCACTGTGATCCACATATACACTTTAAGTACAGATTTATACTGTACTTAATTTTTAAAAATTTTTTAAATTTTTTAAAAATTAAGCTGGTCTCAAACTCTTGATCTCAGGTGATCCACCCACCTCAGCCTCCCAAAGTGCTGGGATTACAATATGTTTTAGAGTCAACTGCATAGTTCATATTAACATCATCTTTTTGTTGAGCTCAAATCTCTTTATTATTTGTAAATTGTATTCTAGCTTTTTAAGTGAAAACTCTAAACCCTTTGTCAGCAACTTCTTCTTTTTTTTTTTTTTTTTTTTGAGATGGAATCTCACTCTGTTGCCCAGGCTGGAGTGCAGTGGCACGATCTCAGCTCACTGCAACCTCTGGCTATCATGTTCAAGCAATTCTCCTGCCCCAGCCTCCCGAGTACCTGGGATTACAGGTGTTCACCACCACGCCTGGCTAATTTTTGTATTTTTATTAGAGTCGAGGCTTCACCATGTTTGCCAGGCTGGTCTCAAACTCTTGATCTCAGGTGATCCACCCGCCTCAGCCTCCCAAAGTGCTGGGATTACAGGCGTGAGCCACCACGCCCAGACGTAAGCAGCTTCTTAAAGATGAAAGGAGCAATAATTAGACCCATTCAAGCTTTATAATGCCACATTTGGACCACTGTAACTAAGGGTCTTCAAGCTTTTCAGTTATGCTTTTGTTAAGTATTTTGTTTGTTATATTTCAAAAATATTGCTTTTCAGTTTTTTAAATTGAGAAAAAATTCAAAATTATTTTTGAGCTGGAATAGTTAAATTTTGTTAAGAATTAAATAATTCTTATTCAAGCACTAAGAATATTCCTCTTTCCTACAGTATCAGCTTAGTTAGTATTTTGTTTGACGGTACTAGAATATAAACAATTTCCACATATTGTACAAAAACTGTATCAACTAAATAACTTGTGAATTTTGCTACACATTTGGGGATTAAATATAAAACATTTATTTATGCAGATATGAAACAATTTAATAATTTGAAAGTAGAAAAATTATCTGTGCTAGTTAATCTTATGTGTCAACTTGACCAGACTAAGCAATACCCAGATAGCTGGTAAACATTATTTCTGTGTGTGTCTGTTAGGGTGTTTCCAGAAGAGATTAACATTCGAATCAGTATACTGAGTAAAGAAGATCTGCCTTCACTAATGTGGACAGGCATCATCCAATTTGTTGAGGGCTTTCATAGAACAAATAAGCAGAGGATGAGCTTTTTCTTTCTCTCTTCTTAAGCTAGAACATGCATCTTCCCCTACCCTTGGATATTGGAGTTTCTGATTCTTGAGCCTTCCACTAAATCACATAAGAATATATACCTATATTTATCCTATTGGTTTTTTTTTCCTCTGGACAATCCTAACCAATACATCATCTGAAAATAATATGATTTTAATTGTGTCATATATTGTGTAGTACAAATATGTATGTTTGTACATATATTTATGTTGTATTCACTTATTTTTGCTTTTAAAATACATATTGAAATTGCATAAATACTGAAAAATATTCAGGAATAGTTTCTTAAAAGAGAGATGCCAAACTTTAATACTAAATTAATACTGACAAGGATAAATAGGGTATATATGAAACAGTAAGAATCTTCCTCAGACTGAGCTCCTCCTCCCTCCACTCTTGTGTTTATATTCCAGCCTGTGTAGTTTTTCCATTCTTTATCCAAACATTTTCTGTTCCTTATGCTTGAGTCTGAGTGGGAAGGCTAGCTGTTTTACTAGTTCAATATACACATTAGCTTATAAAATATATACTTCTCCCTATCTCTTATAAATGAAATGGAGCTATAAACCTGAATTAGGAAAAGATTTAAAGCTTCATCATCTGAGTAGTGCAGACAATTTTGTGATGTGATTTGCAGATTTCTTTTCTGTGTAAGAAAATGTGTGCTGAGATCTTAAGATGCTGATGAAAACCTTCTTCATTGACTTTGTGCATCAAAGCTGAACATTGTTACAGCAGCAATATTATGTAGTTATCAACTATTGCTCTTCAGAAATTTCTATCTTTGAAGCAGTATTTTTTAAGTCTCTAAAAATGTCAGGTTGAGATAACATGTTTAAATGTCTGTTTTCTAATTTAAAAAGTTCTAAGATACGATTTTTAATATATCAATAGTTTCAAGTATGTGTACTGGCTTACCAGACTGTAATTTTATGAAGAACAGCAACCAGTCTTAAATAATTTTTCTCCATTACAGATTGCTCACTGTAATAATTCAAATGCATACAAATCAATATATAATTAATTAGGTTTTAAATATTTCCAAATGTAACTAAACTAAAAGAATGAATTTTTGAAATTAGTGAAACATTTTTTGTGTGAAAAACTGACTAAATTTTTGCTTTCCCAAAACTGATTACAGTATTTGTAGTTATACCTTAGATATTTATCTTTGTGATGCGTCAGCTTTTGTAAAGCTAAATGTACTTAATACATATAAAACTTAATAAAAATTACTGTTTTGTTCACTAACATTTTATAACTAATTTATATAAAGTAGAGCAACATAAAATTTTTATTTTACATAATCCAATTTTAAAGATAAATTTACACTTTTATTCTGAGCACAGTTTTGAAAATAATCATATATTAATAATATGATTAATATGTTATTGATATGTTTTAATAATGTCTGCAAAGTAAAACTGTTTTACTTTCCTGTTTTACTATCAAATTTTATTTGACAGAGCATCTTTTAAATAATCTTTTTTACTATGCATTAAAGTGTGAATGTTGTGACATAATTCTAACACTTTTGGACATTAATACAAAAAGAAAACCATAACTGAAAGTATGCAATGATAAACACAAACAGACACATACACACCCCTCAACAACAAAATTGAGGATGCTGAGAACTTACTGTATGTATTTCTTTCTGAGATACTAATAGTCTAATTGTAAAGATTAAAAATATACTTTAAAAAGACTTACAATAAATGTTATATTTTTTCATGAACTTTGATCTATTTACTGATAGTAATATTCTTAAAAATTATAATTCTGGGCATAGAGCATAGACTTGCTAATTCTAAGCAGAAAACCAGCAATAAAACAAAATATGAAAGTCTGAAATTACCACTCCCCCATTGTTCCTTGCATTGTTTTAAGTAAACAGTTATTTAATTTCCATAAAAAAAGTTGATATCTTCCAGGAAGCTAAAGTAGAAATCAGAAAATAAAATAATCCTGTATGCTACAATAAATATTACAATTATTAAGAGTTTTTTTGTGCCAAAGCCATTTGTTTAGTGTAAATATATATGCAAATATATCTATGTAGGTCTTCAGTAATAATAATAAATAAATATTACCAATGGTAAATGAACATTGATTATGATCCTTTCTACCTAAAGATTACATATGGACAAACTGTATCATCATACAATTTTTTGTTATTTTTAAAAGATTTTGTTTTGTTATCTTTTGTTAAAAGATAATGGTATCTGTGCAAAATTACAATTTTATTGTTTACAGGTAAGATAGCTTAATGTTCAGAAGATTAAATAATTATAAATCTGTGACAATTCCACTAAATGAAATGAAGTCATCATTAAAATACCACAGGCTTCTGATGCCACAAAATTTGAATTCATAGATTCAATTCCTCTGCATTGGACATACTCTCATTTTATAGAAAAGTTAATTCTTTCTGCCAGGACCATTGGGATAACTCAAAATTTCACTGACTTTGCATTACCTGTATATAACCCTAAGGAGTTTTTCCAGAGTGTTCTCTTTTCTTAAAACTGAGACAAGCATATTTGTATTACAAATCACACAACACAAAACGTACAATAACATACCTCAATATTTTATTAAAAATATTAAATTTCCCATCGGCACCTGAGTTACAGTAAGTCTTTTGTGGCTGGGTAATTCCCTTTGCTTATTTAAAGAATACAAGTGCGGAATTTGAAAATATTCCAATGGAAGAAGCATAAAAAGTTTGTTTTAGTAAGTATTAAAATAATAACTATTCAACCAAAGATTTCAGGATGAAATAAATCCTCCTTTAGATAAAAATATATATTTCTTTATGATCTCATAAACTGATATATTGTGTAGGAAGAGGGAAAAGAGAAATAACTTTTCTCTTAATAGGAAAATTGAAAATTGTTTTAAAGAAAACATCCTATAACCTTTAATATTAATCTACTTTACCTATTTTTCCAAAAGTTCAGATAAAAAAAACTATTTCATTATGTATTAATGAATTTAACATTTATTGTGTCAGCAGATATGAATTCTTAGGAGTTTTTTAGGTAAAGGAAACAGCCAATTAAATCAGCAATTTCTGCTTTTTAGAAATTTCATCCAGAGAAAATAGAATATTGTTAATGAATAAATATGTAACATAATGTCAATTTTTAATAGGTTTGATGAAGAAAAACATTCACTAAGTGGATTGAGTGCTGGTTTAGACAGAAAAAGAGTTATCTGACCTAATTGAATCAAACACAGGATCAAGCCATGTACCTCTGGCATATTCCAGGAAGCTGGGACCTACGAGGCATTTCAAGATTCCTGGGCATCATATTTGCCTGGAGAATTTAAAGGCCAATGTGTCAGGGGATAATGAGTGGAAGAGCGGTAATACACCAAATTAGAGAGGCAGCCAAAGGACAGGTCTTGCAGCAACTTCCAGGCCAAAAACAACAACAACAAAAAATAGAGTTTCAGTCAAAGTGGAAGAAAAAGACATTTAAAAAATGAAAGCAGATAAGTGACACTATAATTAAGGAAAAAAATATTTTCTTTATTCTATGAATATATGATTTGGAGGTCAGATGGGAAAATAGGCAAAAGTAGAAGCAAGGAATCATGGATAATTATTTTGGTAGCCCAGGTGGGAGATCTTAGTTTGGGTGGGGATTATTAACTGCGTTTAGAATGAGGTTATAGCTGTAAGATACATCTTTAAAATAATTTTTAAATGATGGAGCATGAGTTTGAGAAGGAGAGAGGATCAACAGGTGATGACTGGAAAATAAGAGTATACTATGCTTTTGAAAGTTTC
This sequence comes from Homo sapiens, assembly GCF_000001405.40. NCBI lineage: Eukaryota > Metazoa > Chordata > Mammalia > Primates > Hominidae > Homo > Homo sapiens. Next base: position 132,054,905 of record NC_000004.12, read on the forward strand.
CCTAAAATATTTTTAAGACAGTAATTCTCAAGACATAAGTGTGGGGGAAGAAGCATGTTCTGGTTTGAGTGAGTCACACATAATGAAGAATTATCTTTTGCCTTGGATAAATTACTAGAGCCAAAAATTTAACTCTATCTCTGGATCAAAATGTATTTTTAAGCAGTTTAAATATTTACTGGAAATTCCAGGGTTATAACTAACATGCAAATTATTTTAAAAATATTTAATAATAATTGTTCACTATTTTGGAAAAAGCATACCATCGAAAACAATACTACTTACGGCCAATTAGGGTCGCAGATACAATAGATGTGTATCAGTCTGTATTTGAATGCATGCTTACAAAAATGTACTAGAAGGTTTGAAACTACAACAGATTCAAAACTAAATATTATAATATTTGACACACAAAATGAAGATCTTCTTGAATTTTCCAAAAGAGGTTATATTTTATAATATATGTCATTTCACATAATTTACAATTTTAGTAATGTCAAATATGTTCTAAAGTTATATATTGAAATTATTTAATTTTTTATTATCGTGATAAATAAATCTTTGCCTTCCCCAATGGAAGATACTTTCCAATATCTTCCTCTCAAAACATCACCATTTTTTCTAATACATTCAGAACTGTTTTACTAGATTTGACTTTTACCATTTGCCACCTATGTTTACTTTCTAAACTGGTTTCTTTATTCTCTGTCCTTCCATTTGTATATTTTCTATTATCTACCTTCAATTTCAATAATTTAATATTTATTCTCTAATATTCCATTTACTGAATTTTGATCTTCAAATATGTATTTTTTTACATCTAGAACTTTTGATACTTTCAACACATTCTTATACTCAATGATTTTCTCCCTACTTTTATCTGGTTTTGTAAGTGATATCAATTTTTATAATATATTAATTGCATTTTAAAGTATTTGGTGCTGACTTACATAATTGGATCATGTGCAGATCTATTTTCAGGTTTTTTTTTTTAAGTCCTGTTAGTTTATCATTATATGACCCTGTTTGTTGGCATGTTGAGTGATTCTTTTGTTTTCCATTTGTTTTTTGTTTGTTTGTTTGTTTGTTTTTTGTCTTAGAGACAGAGTCTCAGTCTGTCACCCAGGCTGCAGTGCATTGGCACAATCATAGCATACTGTAGTCTCAACTTCTAGGGGCTCATGTGATCCTCCCAACCTGGTCTCCTTAGTAGCTGGGACTACTGGCGCAATCCACCATATCCAGCTAATTTTTGTACTTCTTGTAGAGTCAGGGATGGAGGGTGCTGGGGGTGAGGGGCGTGGGTCTCGATATATTGCTCAGACTAGTCTTGAACTCCCTGACCTCAAGCAGTTCTGCTGCTTCAGTCATCCAAAGTGCTGGGATTACAGGCATGAGCCACCACACCTAACCATGTTGAGCAATTTTTATTTTTATTTTGTGTCAGTCTGTTTTTGTTTTGTTTTGTTTCTATAAATCTATAGGTTTCAGGTGAAATGATCCTCCTCCAGAGATGCTTCTTTATATTCTTTACTAAAGAGAAATATTCGTGAGCTCATTTCCTTAAGCTAATTAGTCACAGAAATGAGGGAAGTCTGGATTAATCTCAGCCTTCCAGCTGAAATCCTAGTGTATTAACATGGGCCAGTCTTCTGGAGATGTACTGAATTCTAATCTTTATCTCTTAAGTGCTGCAAGACTGCCAAAATTCTACTCAGCTTAGCTTTTAGACATCTATGCTGCACAGAATTCAGAATTCAGAATGTTTTGAATATAAAGTACTTTAACTCTGCAGGACTTCAAAAATTTCTTTTTTCTGTGCTGCTACAGGAGTGAGTCACTGCCTAGATAAAGTCCAAAATCTTAGCCTCTTGTGAACACCCAAAATTGAAAAAGCAAAGCAAGCAGCGACCATCAGGTTGCAGATAATTAGCTCACCACTCTAATGTTCTTCCTTATTCAGCATCCTAAACCTTTTCACTTTTTACTTTTATGATTTTGCTGTTTCTAATGCCCATAAGCAATTTATATATTTATATTGGTATTGCGTATTTTATCTGTTTTTTTTTTTGTTTTTCTTTTTTTTTTTTTTTTTTTTTTTTTGCTTTTTTGGATGTTTTGATTGTTTGTTTAAGCATTTTTTTGGTCAGAGGTACAATGATATGGTTTGGCTCTGTGTGCCCACCAAAGTATCATTGTTGAATTATAATCCCCAATGCTGGGGAAGAAACCTGGTGGGAGGTGATTGGATCACGGGGGCGGATTTCTCCCTTGCTGTTTTGCTGATAGAGTTTGCATGAGATCTGACTGTTTAAAATTGTATAGCACTTTCCCCTTCACTCTCTCTCTCCTGGTCTACCATGGTAAGATGTGCTTGCTTCCCCTTTGCCCTTCCTCCATGATTGTAAGTTTCCTGAGGCCTCCCCAACCATGCTTCCTCTACAGCCTGTGGAACTGTGAGTCAGTTAAACCACTTTTCTTAATAAATTACTTAGTCATAAGTAGTTATTTATAGCAATGTGAGAATAGATTAATAGAGAAAATTGGTACCAGAGAAGAGGGGCATTACTATGAAGATATCTTAAGATATGGAAGCAGCTTTGGAACTGGCTAACAGACAGAAGTTGGAATAGTTTTGAGGGCTCAGAAGAAGACAGAAAGATAAGGAAAAGTTTGGAACTTCCTAGAGACTTAATTGTTTTAACCAAAATGCTGATAGTGATATGGACAGTGAAATTCAGGCTGAGGTGGTCTCAGATGGAGATGAGGAACTTATTGGAAACTTGAGTAATGTTTTTTCAAAGAGACTGGTGGCATCATGCCCCTGCCCTAGAGATCTGTGGAACTTTGAACTTGAAAGAAATGATTTATGGTGTCTGGTGAAAGAAATTTCTAAGCAGCAAAACATTCAAGAAGTGACCTGGCTTCTTCTAAGAGCACATACTTATATGTATGAACAAAAAGATTATCTGAAACTGGAACTTATATTTAAAAGGGAATCAGAGCACAAAAGTTTGGAAAATTTACAACCTGACCATGTGGTAAAAAATAAAAACCCATTTACTGGGGAGAAATTCAAGCCAGCTGCACACATTTGCATAAGTAAAGAGGAACTGAATGTTAATGGACAAGACAATGGGGTAAAGGCCTCCAATATATTTCAGAGACCTTTGTAGCAGTCCCTCCCATCACAGGCCCAGAGGCCTAGTGGGGAAAAATAGTTCCATGGGCCAGGCCCAGGGCCCCACTGGTGCAGCCTTGGGACATTGTGCTCTGCATCTCAGTGCTCCAGCTGTAGCCATGGCTAAAAGGAGCCAAGGTGCAGCTGGGGCTGTTGCTTCAGAGGGTGCAAGCCCTAAGCCTTGGCAACTTCCATGTGATGTTGGGCCTGCAAGTGTGCAGAAGAGTTGAGGTTTGGGAGCCTCTGCCTAGATTTTAGAAGATGTATGGAAATACCTGAATGTCCAGGCAGAAGTCTACTGCAGGGGCAGAGCCCTCATAGAGAAGCTCAACTAGCAAAGTGCAAAGGGGAAATGTGGGGTTGCAGCCCCCACACAGAGTCCCCACTGGGGCACTGCCTAGTGGTCATGCAAGAAGAGGTCCACCACCCTCCAGACCTGAGAATGGTAGATACACTGACAGCTTTCTTGCAGACACTCAATGCCAACCCATGAAAGCAGCTGCAGGGGCTGTACCCTGCAGAGCCACAGAGGCTGAGCTCTCCAAGGCCTTGGGAGCCCACCTCTTGTATCAGTGTGTCCTGGATGTGAAACATGGAGTCAAAGGAGATTATTTTGAAGCTTTAAGATTTAATGACTTCCCTGCTGGGTTTCAGACTTGCATGGGGCCTGTAGCCCCTTTGTTTTGTATTATTTCTGCATTTGGAATGGGAGCATTTGCCCAATGCTGTACCTCCATTGCATCTTGTAAGTAATTAATTTGCTTTTTTATTTTACAGACTCATAGACGGAAGATACTTGACTTTTCTCAGATGAGACTTTGGACTGTGAATTAATGCTGAAATGTGTTAACACTCTAGGGGACTTTTGGGAAGGCATGATTGATTTTGAAAATTGAGAAGGACATGAGATTTGGGAAAGGCCAGGGGCAAAACAGTGTGATTTGGCTCTGTGTTCCCACCCAAATCTCATGTTGAATTGTAATCCCCAGTGTTGAGGAGAAACCTGGTGGGAAGTAATTGGATCATGGGTGTAGATTTCCCTCTTGCTGCTCTGTGATGGAGTTCTCACATGATCTGGTTGTTTAAATGTGCGTAGCATTTCCCCCTTCACTATCTCTCTCCTGGTCCACCAGGGTAATGTGTCCTTGTTTCCTCTTTGCCCTTCTGCCATGATTATAAGTTTTCTGAGGGCTCCCCAACCATGCTTCCTGTACAGCCTGTGCAACTGTGAATGAATTAAACCTGTTGTCTTCATAAAGTATCCAGTCTCAGGTAGTTCTTTATAGCAGTGTAAAAATGAATTAATACAGGCCCTCTCCTGGCAGGGAAGAATTAAACATGCCCAGGCGTAGTTCTTCAAGTTACAACATAAATTTGCTACATTACAAGAATGTATTTCTCAGTAGACCAAAATTTGTCATGAAAACATATAAATATTGCACTGTATTTTATGAAATGACTCTTCAATTTAAACATAAAGAGGGATACTTAGCCAAAATTTTGTGTAAAATTAACATTCCAGGAAAGTGAACTTTTTTTGTTCTACCTATCTCTACTCACCAAACCATTGACCAGTAACTAGAATATACACTATTTTAAAGAGCCCAAAATGTTAATAGACATTGAACATAATTTAATATGTATAAAAATGGGGTAAACATTTGTATTTTAAATATACTAAGATGGTAAAATAATAAAGTAAAATTCTGACTAGAAAATCCCAAGCAGATATCTCATCTGTGATCAAAACAGGTTTTACCCATTTTTCCTAGGAAACAAATCTGTCCTTTTTTCTTTTTCTTTTAGTTATTTTGCTCAAAAAATAATTACATGTTTAATTACATATTATAATTTTTTCAGTGAAAGGGAATATTAATAGATAATGTATAGTTGGAGTAAATTATAAGATAAATACATTAATTGTACCATAATAAACATATATCAGAGAGACAGTTTAATTTAAGGTCTGCAACTTTAGTTGATACTAACCTTTAGCTTCTATATGTGTCAAATGTATCATTTTACAAACACTCATAATAAATACTGTGCTTCAAAAAGACGTTTCTCACTATCTTTTGGAATGCAAAATGAAAAGTAGAATTGATTTTTTAAATGACATAACTATCATATAATGGAATTACTATTATCAGAATCATAAAAACACTCTCCCTCTCTCTCTCTCTTTCTAATGGCTCTCCAAAGATGTTTATCTCCTAATTCTTAGAACCTTAGAATAAATTAGGTTAAGATGGCAAAAAAAAAGATGTTGTTACTGAAGGAATTAAAATTGCTAATCAGTAGATCTTAAAATATGATTATTTTGGGTTACCTGTGTAGGCCCATTTTCATCACAAATGTCTTTACATGTTCAAGAGGGAGGCAGAAGAAGTCAGAAGCAGATGTGTCTATGGAAAAAAGACACAGAAAAATGCATCATTGCTGCCTTTGAAGAGGGAAGAAGGCAATCATAAGCCAAAAAAATCTGGACGGCCTCTAGAAGCTGAAAAAAAAAAAAAAAAAACAAGGAAAGGAATTCTCCCCTGGAGCCTCCAGAATGGTTATAGCCCTTCTGACATCTTGATATTAGTCCAATGAGGCTCATGTTGCGCTTCTAACCTACAAAACTATAAGGTTAAAAAAAGTATGGTATTTTAAGGCACCAATTTTGTGGAAATTTATAGTAGGAGCAATAGAAAAGGAATACATTATAAAATACCAGCGTAATCATTAAAACATCTCTATTGTTCACCCTTGTAAAAAGATTTGTACAAAAAGTTGCTTTGTTTCTTAAACTAATTTATGTAAACGTTCTTTCTGTCAGAAAAAGTAATTTTGAATTTGTATATACATAGAGGAGTATAAATGATATAAAAATATGTAAATAATAGTATTACTAATATTTATTAAGTCATTGATATATGTTACACTGTTTATTTAAAGTTAATTATTATCTAATGTAAACCTCACAACAACTCTCTGAAAAGGATACTCTTTTTATCTCTATTTTATAGGTAAGGAAATAGAGTCTGAGAAGAGATAAACTGCCCAAGTGACTTGTCCAGTGTCACAGAATTGCCAATTACAGAGTCACTACTGGAAGCTAATGTATACTAGCCTGTACATTCTTGGGTCTATACTAGAAGTTACAAGTAAGTCATAACCACTTTTTAGAGTCAGAATTGAATATTTTTAGAATATGAAATGACTCTACAAATGTTAACGTGTGGAACTCATAAAATTTTCTTTTGTGGAAGAATCCTGATAAATTATATTTGAGAGCCATTGTTGAATATCTACTCTTTCTAAAAACTCAGTCAGGCTTGGTGGCTCATGCCTGTAATTCCAGCAGTTTGGGAGGCCAAGGCCGGTGGATCACAAGGTCAGGAGATCGAGACCACCCCGGCTAACACGGTGAAACCCTGTCTCTACTAAAAATACAAAAAATAAGCCAGGCATGGTGGCAGGTCAGGAGGCTGAGGCAGGAGAATGGCGTGAACACAGGAGACGGAGCTTGCAGTGAGCCGAGATTGCATCACTGCACTCCAACCTGGGCAACAGAGCGAGACTCCACAAAAAAAAAAAAAAAAAAAAAAAAAAAACTCTTCTGCAATGTTGTAATAGCTCCTTCTAAGAAGCCCAACTCTTCAATTTTATTGGTTATTCAGAGGAAGAAAAATCAGAATTGGAAACAAGTCTGAAGGACAGTGTACTATTCTGTTCTTGTATTGCTATAAATAAATACCTAAGACTGGGTAATTAATAAAAGAGATTTAATTGGCTCACAGTTCTGCAGGCTGTACAAGAGCATGATGCTAGTATGTCCAGAATTGGTGGGTTCCTGGTCTCACTAACTTCAAGAATGAAGCCGCGGACCCTCGTGGTGAGTGTTACAGTTCTTGAAGATGATGTGTCCGGAGTTTGTTCCTTCTGATGTTCAGACATGTTCAGAGTTTCTTCCTTCTGCTGGGTTCATGGTTTTGCTGGCTTCAGGAGTGAAGCTGCAGACCTTCACAGCGACTGTTACAGCTCATACAGGCAGTGCGGACCCAAAGAGTGAGCAACAGCAAGATTTACTGCAAAGAGCAAAAGAACAAAGCTCCCACAGTGTGGAAAGGGACCCGAGTGGGTTACCACTGCTGGCTCGGGCAGCCTGCTTTTATTCCCTTATCTGACCCCACCCACATCCTGCCGATTGGCCCATTTTACAGAGAGCTGATTGGTCCGTTTTGACAGGGTGCTGACTGGTGCATTTACAATCCCTCAGCTAGACACAGAGTGTTGATTGGTGTATTTACAATCCTCTAGCTAGAGGTAAAAGTTCTCCAAGTCCCCACCAGATTAGCTAGACACAGAGCACTGATTGGTGCATTTACAAACCTTGAGCTAGACACAGAGTACTGATTGGTGCATTTACAATCCTCTAGCTAGATGTAAAAGTTCTCCAAGTCCCCACAAGATTAGCTAGATACAGAGTGCTGACTGGTGCATCCACGAACCCCAGGCTAGACCCAGAGTGCTGATTGGTGCATATACAATCCTCCAACTAGGCATATAAGTTCTCCAAGTCCCCACCCAACTCAGGAGCCCAGCTGGTTTCGCCTAGTCGATCCCATGCCAGGGTCGTGGCCAGAGCTGCCTGCCGGCGGAGCTGCCAGCCAGTCTCGCGCCGCGCACCTGCACTCCTCAGCCCTCGGGTGGTTGATGGGACTGGTCCCACGGAGCAGGAGGTGGCAACCCTTGGGGAGGCTCAGGCCATGCAGGAGCCTCCCGCGGGTGTGGGGGTCTCAGGTATGGCAGGCTGCAGGTCCTGAGCCCTGCCCCATGGGGAGGCGGCTGAGGCCTGGGAAGAATTCGAGTGTGGCGTGGGCAGGCCAGCAGTGCTGGGGGACCCAGCGCCCCCTCCACAGCTACCGGCCCTGTGCTAAGTCCCTCACTGCCTGGGGCCAGCGGCATTGGCCGCCACTCAGAGTGCCCGGCCCGCCGGGAGCTCACATTCCACACTCAGCTCCACGCCAGCCAGCCCAGAGAGGGGCTCCTACAGTGCAGCGGCGGGCTGAAGGGCTTCTCAAGCGTGGCCAGAGTGGACGCCGAGGCCGAGGAGGCTCTGAGAGCCAGGGAGGGATGCTAGCACGTTGTCACCTCTCACTGGCATCTGCTCAGGTTCGGAGGAGGCCTCGAGAAGGCAGAAATCAATCATGGCAGAAGGCAAAGGAGGAGCTGGGCATCTCTCATGATGGGAGAAGAAACAAGAGAAAGGGGAAAGCTGTTATACACTTTTAAATGACCAGATCTCACAAGAACTCACTGACTATCATGAGAACAGTACCATGTGGTTGATGCTAAACTATTCATGAGAAACTACTCACCTGATCCAGTCACCTCCTACCAGGTCCCACCTCCAACACTGGAGATTACAATTTGACATGAGATTTGGTGGAGACACAGATCTCGACTATAACAGACAGGTGTTTCTCATTATAGCTAAAAAGTATCTTTTTTTTTTTTTTTTGGTAGGTTATTGGGGTTGGTGGCTCAATTTTTAGATATACCAATATCAAGTTTATATCTTCTCAAATAGGCTGCCAGTTGAGTTTTTAATCAACAAAAACAAATGGTGTTTCTCATTATTTTACTTGTTCTTTCACCTGAACACTGCAAGAGCCTCTTAACTGGCCTCCCTCCTTACCTCCTCACTGATAATCCCCTCCACACACAAACACCTCAGACCCTCTCACAGGTTGTCACAGAAGTTTTCTTAAAATGTAAATTAAATCAAGTAATGGACTTCCTTAAAAGCTTCTCCTCGTGACTTCCTTGTGTAATTTGAGCACAAATGTAACATGCCTTTCTGAGGCTATATAAACTGGTCCACAGCAGTCTTCCTGAGCTCTTCACAAACCATTATCTCCCTCCCTGGCTATGTTCCAGCCCAAATACACCCCATTAGCTTGATTTTCCTTGTTTCTTTTCTGGCCAGTGTGTGGCTCTTATCTCTTCCTGCAAAGTGGTTTCCTGAATCTCCCTTACATTCCCTTTTATTCTATTTATGCTCATTACACAATGTATTGAGAAGTGACATTATTTTCTTTATTTTCCTTCTCCTCTAATTTGAGTATTAGAATGATTTTTATTAACCACAACAATAGGTTTGTCTAACATGTGTTTAAAAAAATATTTGTCAAATTAATGATTACTCCCTCTTGATTCATTTCAGTGGCCTAGGGGAGCAATGCCTCAAGCTCTTTCTTAAGAGATGCACATTAAACACAAGTTATTTACTCGAAAACTTGTACCTATATAAATAAAACAAAACAAAGAAACACATTCATAGCTAGATCTAATCTATATTCTTCATATTTTCATTCAGTCTTATTAATTTAGTGTTATGAACTATGCTCTTAGAAAATACAATAATAGTTGAATGACATGATTATACATTGCGTATAAATATATTATGCTATCATGCAAAAAATGCACATTATCATTTAAATATCCATGAAAGGAATAGACAAATAAGTATTGCCCTAGCATTATTTTCATGTCTGCAGAAAAAATGTTACATTTTTGTCATTAGAGTTTTAAAAATCTGATTTACCAAAGCAATATCTTGTATTCTATTATCGTTATTATAAACTTGAGCATTAAAATGAAAATGAAGTTTATCAGAAAAATATAGTACTACATATATAATATATTATTTCATTTGGAAAATCTGAATTTTGCACCGTCTCAATGTCAGTATTTCTATACTGATAGTCCTCCTATTTTACTGGCTAAGCAGTGTAAAAATAATTCTCATTTGAAATCCATGAGGGCTTAAATTCAAACCCTGGCTATGAAATTGCTTCAATATTAAGACAAGCTCCAGGGATGGGTTTTAAATTTCAATCTTTTAAGAAATTTTATGCGTCTTCGATGAGCAATTTCTCATGTTCATTCCAATGAACAATAATGTCAGGGTGATCAAAAACAAGAATTTCAATTCCAAACATATCCCTAGAGGTGGCATCAATATAAAAGCAATTTTTATCTGGACATGTTTTGAATTTTCACTACTTCGAGGGATTTTTGGTATTGCTTTATTGATGGTGAAGAGCACAGCAATAGTTATTTTGATAGTAAGGCAGATTAATGTATTATGCCACATTGTATTTATATGCCATTCTCATTCAGAAAACATGATTTTCAGATTTGTCTTATCTGTTCATCATCAGTTTATCACTACATAATCTAATACCTGTTCCAGCTGCTGTTTTACATTATTTGTCGCCTATAGTTCATGATGCTTTTTTATTGTGTATTTATACTGTTGTGATGACTTAATGTATATTAACTTACTTAATTCTCCCAGGAACTCAATAAAGAACCAAGATATGGAGAGAACACACAGAAACTTCCCCTTGACCAAAGAGCCAGTCAGAGTTAGAACCAAGGTTTTAAGCTAATAGCCTCCATCTGGAGTTTGTGCTCCTAATGATTAATGGACACTTTCTAAAAAATGTTCCTTGGTAACTAATTTGGTGAATGAATATGAGTAACTTTATATTATGTTTATAAAATAAAGCAAGACATTATGAGCTTTGTTATTTACAAATTTTAAAGAATATTATTGAATATTTAAGTACTTTTTATCGCATTTGTTTTCTGTGTCTATGATATACTTAATGTTAGTATACTGAGTTAAAGAGTACAAAAAAGTTAAGTTTTTCTTTTTGCTTGAATACGCAAAAATTAATGGAAAAAATCAAAGATAGTTCCAAATTTGCTTCTAGGGGCTTAAAATAATTTATTTTGCTTACTTTTAAAATTCTATGCAGACTAATTCTGATAGAGTTTTAAATGAGAATAAAGTCTCAGTTAGATGATAGATGTTAGATAGACAGCTTAATAGATTGGACAAGAAGTGGGAGAAGCATAGGACTTTCAAAAGAGAAGACATGCATGCAAAGATCAAAACCAGAAACGAGCAAGCAAAAGAGAGCTAGTCACTTTTTGCTTGATTACAGTCAACATTTGTAAATCATGAGATCACATGATGATGAACAAGAATGTAGTCAGCTTTGTTTACCTTTGAGTTTAGTCATATTTAGCTATAATTTTATTAGAGAAAATAAATTACATTACAGTCACCTATTTTAGGAAACTGAAACTTAAGAAGGGGGAGCAGATACAAGGTAGGTGAAAGAGACAGAACTGTGATTTACCAATACGTGTAGGACATGTTATAAATGACAGCAAATGAGAGTGTTGAAACTGGAAAGTCCCCCAGTTTTGGCATAACTTGTTTCAGTTAAAACTTGGATAGATTCTTATCTTCAAAATTTTACAGGCATCCAGATATCATCAGATTGTTGATAGAAATGGATGGAGACAGAGAGATGAGATGAAAAAGAAAGAGAGAGGGGAGAGAGGGAGGTGAGAAAGAAGGAGGAGAGGAGTAAAGAGAGAGAAAGAGACAGGAGAAACAGAGATAAGAGAGATAGAGAGAAAGGAGAGAGGAGAGGTAGAGAGATATACAGATATAAAGAGGGAAATAGAGAGAGCTAGAGAGGGATTAGTGAGATAGATGAGTGATTGATAAGAGAGAGAGATTTCGTGAACATTACCAGGAAAATTTATGGAAAAAATTGCCATGCATTTTACTGTCTGTTATGCAAAAACTGGAAGACTATTTTCTCAACGCTTACATCCAACTTACATGCTGACCCTTCTCCAAGTACAGATGCTAAAAATTTCATGAGACGTTGTTATAGTCGTATGACATAGAAAGCTGAAGTAATGCTTATGATTTAAAGATCATAACATGAAAGGAACCAGACTATGTTTAATTTTTTATTAGTGTGAAAAAATCTGTATTATCATTGCAGATGTATTAGATTTTTATTACTGTGCTAACAAATTACTACGAACTTATTAGTTTAAACACATACAAATGTATTGTTTTGTATTTCTACAGCTCAGAAATCTCATGAGGTTTTCATTGAGCTGAAGTCAAAGTATCAGCTGGGCTGCATTTCTTTTAGAGTCTGTAGGGAAAAATCTGTTCCCTGGCCCTTTTCAAATTCTAGTGGCCACCCACATTTCTTGACTCTATCTCCTTGGATCCTCAAAGCCTGCAACTTTGCTTCTCTCTGACCATTCTTTCCTTCTGACCACAGCCAGGAAAGAGTCTCAGCTTTTACTGATCTATGCGATTGGATTTGTCTATCCAGATAATCCAGGATTAAATTAGAATCTCAAGGTGTTAACTGAATCATTCATAAAAAGTCCTTTTTCACTTATAAGATAACATATTGAAAAGTACTGAGAATTAGTATGCGGACATCCTTGAAAACTATTATTCTGCCACCACAAGAGTACCCACATTTTGAGAAATTTTTGACAATTTTTTTATGATAAATCATTTTATCAAAAGCCTTAAGAACAGACTTTCTTTATACCTTTTAGATATCTTGGGCATGTCAAGTCACACTAACGACTTTTTAAATACATTTTTTTTGAAAACCTACTGTGGGCAATACACTTAGTATTTAACCAAAAATACAGACAGATTAAGACAAAGGAGTGCTAAAATTTAAAATAGGCAGTTATTTTAAACTGTAATTACATAAGAAAATATGTTATTACTTAGCACAAATCAAAATTACACTATTATAGGAATTCTGACAAAAAATATACAATTAGATTGTGATAATATGAGAACTTAAGGTACAAGTATGATTCAAAATAGGTCTTGAAGTGTAAGTAAGGACTAGGGAGGAGTGACCAAAAAAATTGGAAAAATATAAGGCAGCATCCAACAATGGAGTTTTATACACAGAGAGGTCTTCCAAATAAGATGAATGAAAGGCAGACCTGAAAGTGTGCACCCAGTATGAGAGGGTGTCACCTTAATGACACTTAACCAGTCAAGCTATAGGACTTAAATGTGAGCCACTCCCCTTTTATTATTGTGTTTGAATATTTCTTCTGCTGTTACTTTTCTCTTCATGTAATACTTGAGTTTATAGATTTACCTGATCAAGTTATCTCTAACTTAGAGGTATAATAAGAGAACCTATTAATTTTAGAGCAAATTTCATCTCTTCCTTTTCAATACAATGTGCCTAAACTCTTGTTAAGGCTACATCATTTTAATCTCTTAAGTAATGGCACGATATTTTAGTTTACATTTTAGCACCATCTAGCAATCTCTTCTTTGTTATGAAGTCACAACTATTTGCAAAAGGAATCATAAATGTTGCCTTTAACCCTTAGTCTTTCAGAACTTTGTATAACTGTAGTACCTGTATATGCTTACAGCATCACTGCATCTCCTTGGTGCCCTGGTTTGTTTGTTTATTTATTTATTTATTTATGTATTTATGTATTTATTGAGACGGAGTCTCACTCTATTGCCCAGGCTGGAGTGCAGTGGCGTGATCTTGGCTCACTGCAACCACTGCCTCCCGGGTTCGAGCGATTCCCCTGTCTCATTCTCCTGAGTGGCTGGGATTACAGACACACACCACCATGACTGGCTAATTTTTGTATTTTTAGTAGAGACGGGTTTCACCATATTGGCCAGGCTGGTCTCGAACTCCTGACCTCCTGATCCATCCACCTCTGCCTCCCAAAGTGCTGGGATTACAGGCATGAGCCACCATGCCTGGTCGCCATTATTTGTTTTTAAACAAACCAGCAGGTGTCAGTTGTGGTTAGCATGTGCTCCTTCAGGATGAAGGCAATTAATGGGAGTTTGCATTGCATTGTGGGTGAGCCTGTGTACTCTGTAGTCAGCCCGCCCAGGTTTGATGTTAGTTACATGATCCAGAGGTCAACTTGTGTGACCTCTCAGTGCTGCATTTTCCTCAGCTATAAAAAGTGTATAGTAATAATAATGAATGACCTCTTATATTTGTCATGCGGAATATATGAGTTAATATTTATCAAGCACTAGTTTCTGATACATAACAGATTCTACATAATTTAAATAAAACAAACCTGACAATGTTATTCAATGAGAAGTTTCTTTCCAATTTGTCAATTTAACATTTGCATAATTAATTTTTTAATGTATTATAAAGATGTAATTAGTATATCTAATATAACATCTGATTCATAGAAGGTATTCAATACATTGGATGTGTTATTATTCTTGATATTATTATGAGACACTTTAATTTTCATTTCTGTAAATCAATAAATTTCATGCAAGAAAACTTAATCAAATATGACACAAATGAATAATATATATTTAAAATAATCACACCTTCAAAGAGAAAAATGTGCACAATGCTTCAGAAAGAAGGAAGAGAAAAAAGCATGTGCAAAAGGGGTTGTAATAAAGAAGAAAGTTGGGATGTCTGAAAAGAACGACATACTCATTTCATGCTCACCCAATATTGAACAAAGGAAGTCAAATGACTGAGCAACATACACAAAATGATCATTTTGACTATGGCACAATGACAAAACATTTAATGCTTTGAATAATGGGAATTGTTTTTTATCTCAAAGTTAATTAGGAAAGAATCCCTTGCATAATGGAAAAGAGTATCTATCTTTTTTTTTTTTTTTTTTTTTGAGACAGTCTTGCTCTGAACCCCGGACTGGAGTGCAGTGGCACAATCTCAGCTCACCGCAACCTCCGTCTCCTGGATTCAAGTGATTTGCCTTCTTCAGCCTCCCGAGTAGGTGGGATTACAGGCACCCGCCACCACGTCTGGCTAATTTTTGTATTTTCAGTAGAGACATGGTTTCCCCATTTTGGCCAGGCTGGTCTTAAACCCCTGACCTCAGGTGATCTGCCTGCCTTGGTCTCCCAAAGTGCTGGGATTACAGGCGTGAGCCACACTATCTCTTTCTATCAAAGCATGAGTCAGGAAGTTTTCAGAATGAAAAATGTAGAAAATCCTGGAGGGTCCAACCATAGCAGTAGTTCGAGTCTGGTGGGCAGCGAGGACACGAATTACACAGAGACCATCAGAAGAAAGGCATTTTTTTTAAAAAAGATTATGTTAATAGGCAACATATTTAAAGAAACACTATGCAGCAAATAACTAATAACATGCTATGGTATAAGTAAGATACCCTGTGATATATGTTGCAACTGTTTAACACTGGGACATGGCATCTTTCTGTTCGAAAAACCACACTTTCATGTATAAACGTCTTCGGAACTAGAGGCCAAAATACTTAAACAAATTGACATATCTACTTGCTAAAAACCTGACAAAGAGATTATAATGATAAATCTAATTAACTTGTTATTATTTTTAAAAAAGTAATAGTAACAACAACTAAGCAAGTTCAATAGGGGATACATTCTCTCAGAAAAGTTTTGAAATTTCCATTCATATTTAGAATGAATGCGTCATAGGAGTCTTTCAATGCTTCAGGAAGAAACTTTACTAAATTCCTAAATTCAAAATCTCAGTGATTTCCAGTGTATACTTTTTTATGAAAAAGTATACCTTTTTTATGAGAAAGTATACAGTGATTTCCAGTGTATACTAATTTATGAAAATCAAGTATTTCTATCATTTAGTAATAAAATGGTTTCTCGTGTAAATGGACAACATACAAAAAATGTTTGAGAATTACTTTCCTAGATGTTCAAAAAAATTATGTAGTGAACACTTGATTGTAATTTTATCTCCTTCCATTCTACTTTAATCAAGAAAGGGACAAAACAGGTGCGATTTACCAGCTCTGAGAAAGTTTTTAAACCTAGTTGGAGTGACCGATCTTTATAATATGATGCCTGGCTAAATGACATTGAGTTTCATTATATTCTTATATTCCTGAGTACAGGAAGGAAGTAATTTGTCTTTGATGCAGAATAGAAAGCAAAGAGCTCATTTGGGCATTGTAGAGAAAATCAAAAAAGAAGGGGCTGACCTGGTGAAAATTATATATTCATGGAATATATTACGCTAAATGGTTCTGTTTCTAAATGCAATCCTATGATCTTTAAATTGAGTATCTAATTTGGCAATAGTGAATTTTTTCTGCACATTGCATCTTTACTTGCTTTGTTAATAATATACGTTATTCACTTTTCAAACGCAAGCCATTTGGGAAAATAAAAAATAATAATTAAAATGGAAACAAAAACCTAGGCAATATTTTCTTCAGATAGTTATTTATATAAGTAGACTTTTATCAGACTTTTTTCCTTACAAAATTACAATGCCTCCACCAGGTGAGACAAGCCTGGGCAACATGGCGAAACCCTGTCTCTACAAAAAGTACAAAAATTAGCTGGGTGTGGTGGTGCCTGCCTCTAGTCCCAGCTACTCAGGAGGCTGAGGTGGGAGGATGGCTTGAGCCCGGAAGGCAGAGGTTGCAGTGAGCTGAGATCATGCCACTGCACTCCCGTCTGGGTGATAGAGACAGACCTTCTCTCAAAAAAAAAAAAAAGAAAGAAAAGAAAATGCCCAAAGACCACTGTTGTTTTTGTCATGGTATCCTTAATAGCTAAGCAGGCTGAATCTTTTAATTGTTTTTTTTTTTTTAGTGCCAGTAGAAAAATTATAATTGCTATTTTTTTAATTTCATCTTTTAAATTCAATTAAAGGTTATTTAAAATGTATATGCCAAGTAATATTTAAAATTGTGTCCTATAATAGAATTATATATTAGTATAGTTTGTGTTAAAAATCATATATATTATTTCATATATTATTTGTGGGTGCACATATTTAGAGACAAATACATGGATTGATACAGCTTATACATACATATTTGTATACACACATACACACAAAGTTGTATGCATATATACAAATATATGCATATGTACAAACACATATACACACTGATACATTTTAACACAATTACTGCTACATGTGAATAGGTGGGAATAAGAATTCCTCTTGACTAGATCATGATGAATATAATTTACAATTTTACTTGCACTAAATACATTCCATATGCTATGATTAGTGCAAAAGGAAGTGATGAGTAATGCGAACCCATTCCTAACAAAATATAAATAATCAGTGAATTCTCTACTCATAATGTCTCATCAGCTTCATGTGAATTAATAAGATAAAGCAAAATTATTGTCATATACTTTTACTGATAATATAGAATTTTAAATAACACTTCTTGAGGTATAAAAGTTTATACTTCCTCTGATTATCACAAAATAAATGTGTGAGTATATTTTTACATTTCTGGATATGTTCCTGAGAGAAGATAGTGCTAAGAAAAATTGCTGCCAACCACTATGTGCATGATTTGCAAACCTACCTGGAGAAATCAGTGAAAACAATCCTTTGTATTATGTATAAAGCCAAGCTAAGGTTGGAGACTTATTTCTGAAGTCAGAAAGTATGTGTGGCCTAAATCCTCATCATCTTAAACCCCTCTTTCTTAGTAATTATTTTTCTATACATTAAAATGCTGGACAAAAAAAAAATAGATACTGCTTTCTTTCTCCTCAAAACTGAAAACCCTGTTTCCAAAGACAGCGGTATAATCATTCCTCTTGCTAAGAATAAAGTAGTTTTAAATACAAATTTATAAATATCACAAAAAAGTGAGAGAAAATATGCCCATAAAATGTTTTTTATATTTTTAAGTAATAGATAATTATCTATTGCATTGGAATGGATTCTATGGAAAGAGAAACAGTCATTTAGAATGTATGACATGCTCATTTATTCAGGAAATGTTATTAAGTGGAGCGTATGTTAAGTTTTGGGGAAATAACATCAAACAAAACACACATAATCTCTACTTACATGGATATCAAATTTGAGAAGAGATGAAGATAAATAAAATCACTATTATATTTGAAGCAGATTATATATGTGTGTGTATACACTCACACACACACACACACACACACACACACGTACACATATAAATGTATGCATACACACATCATACCAGACTTCTGGATCAGATATAACTTTTATGATCAAAATTGTCAAGGGTCTGAATATATATCTACATATAGACATTTGGTGTTTATAGGCACACACACACACACACACAAATACACATATATGCAAATACATGACTTCTAGATAAAAAATATTTACTTAGAAAGCATCTTGTATTTATTTTGCTTTGAGCCTTAACTAAAAAGAAAAATAATTAGATTATTTTAAATATAAATAATATCTTCATTCTAACATATATTATTCTAATATGTTAATTCTCTCTTAAGATTCTTATTCATTTTGCAAAATATTGTATTACAATACTAGTAAAATGGTAATTACAAGAGGTTGGGGTGGGGGATATAGGTAGCTGTTCAATAGGTATAATGTTACCATTATATAAGATAAGCAAGTTCCAGGGATCTGCTATAAAACATAATGCCTATAGTTTAACAATAAGGTATTGTGTACTTCAAAATTTATTAAGAGGGTAGATCTTATGTTAACTGTTCTTACCCCAAAAAAACAAAAACAAACAAATGAACAAAGGAACACAAAGAAACTTTAAAAAGTGATGTGTTTATTATGTGGACAGTGGTGATGGTAATACAAGCGCATACATATGTCCAAACTCACCAAGCTGCATACATTAAATATGTACAGTCTTTTGTATACCAATTTTACCTCAGTGAAGCTGGATAAAAACAAAATACAATTAAAATGTAAATTGCATAGCAAGTAAACTTTGGCAAAAACATCTTAAAATCACATATGCTCTTGAAAACATTAATTTTTCCAAAAACCTCTCTGTCTCCTCAAATAATTCATTTATATTGTAAAATAGCAAAATAGCAACATTTTTTTATGAGTAGACACCCACTTTTAAAAGTTAGCATCAGATAAACTTACAATGTTCTCTATTTCAATATTTTCTAGTTTCTGGTATTACTTAGTCCTCATATAACCTATTGACCTTTACCTATCATAGACATTCAGAAATAAAATAAATGTCTAATATTTTTCTTTTTTTTTTTTTTTTTTTGAGACAGTACAGTTCTGTCACCCAATCTGGAGTGCAGCGGCATGATCTTGGCTCACTGCAACCTCTGCCTCCCAGGTTCAAGCAATTCTCCTGTCTCAGTCTCCTGAGTAGCTGAGACAGCGGGCACACACCACCGTGCCCGGCTAATGTTTCTATTTTTAGTAGAGATGGGGTTTCGTCATATTGGTCAGGCTGGTCTTGAACTCCTGACCTCAGGTGATCCACTCGCCTTGGCCTCCCAAAGTACTGAGATTACAGGCACGAGCCACCACGCCTGGCTCATAAACTTCTAATCTTCTTTAGCTACATTAATGAAGGTACAAGTAAGCTATCAGATTTAGTACTTTTAAATAACTTAACATCTCTTTAATAAGCATAGTCTTATGCTATTTGATGCTGTAATCGAATTTTTAAAATTACATGGGATTCTTAAAACGCTGGGCATTATAATTATAACATGTTTTGATGAGATTATGACAGTATCTATATAAAAATTATCCCTCTTTTATATATCCTGGCACTCTGAAATATAACAGTAAAATTTTCCAGTAAAGATGATATGAAATTCACACATGTACTTATAATTTAAAATGCAAATAATATAAATAGTTTTGCAGGATTCATAGAAATATTTGTTTAATTTATTATAATCAAGACATTGTGCTTGAAGTTCTGCTTTCAGAATTATCCAGTGAAAGCCTCCCAAAAAATTGATAAAATTTGAAAATTAGATTATGGAGTACATCATGTATAAGAGCTTTCTCTATCACTCTATGTTTTCGTCCATACCAAATAAAACAATTTATGCATGTACAATTTAAATTTAGATTGAAATCTAATTCAAGCATATTTTAGGTTCATTATAAATAAAATCCTAATTAAAATCGCAAAAAGCCAGACCTTCTGTTAAAAACGTAGTCACAAAATAAATTTTTTATTTGTAAACTCCTGTCTTTCTATGTAAATGTACTTTATATTATGCTTTTTCCCACATTCTAATTTCTGTTAAAATTACATTACAAAAATTACTTCATGTTTTTGAATTCTTGTATATATCTACATCTCCAATTTATGGGGTAAATTCGCTGAGTTAGACAACATCTTCTGTTTCCCCTGAAAACTCAATAGTGTTCTAAAAGGTTTGCAATGTTAATTAATTCTGTAAGGTAAAATTTAGCTCCCAATTATCTGTACTAATGTAGGAAGCAGATATGAATAACCCTGAATCAATTTGTGTTCATCCACAGAGAGTGTTTGAATTTATATTTGAATGTGGAAGTGTCGAAGATCTGAAAACTCATTTAATATACAGTAACAACACGAACAAGAACATGATTAGAAGTTGCTAAAAAGTTGTCAAATGTCATCATGTTTCGCCCATACACAACTACTTGTTGAAATCGGCTCTCAGCAGGAAACACTTTGTTCTCTCAATTTTTGTTGTAATGTTTTCTTGAAGCAGAGGGTCTCTTAAGTAGTTGTGATTTCTACTTCCTCTTTGCATCCAAAGAAAACTTTTTTTTTTTGAGATGGAGTTTCGCTGTTGTTGCCCAGGCTGAAGTGCAATGGCACGATCTCTGCTCACTGCAACCTCCACCTCCTGGGTTCAAGCAATTCTCCTGCCTCAGCCTCCCGTGTAGCTGGGATTACAGGCATGCGCCACCATGCCCAGCTAATTTAGTATTTTTAGTAGAGACAGGGTTTCTCCATGTTGGTCAGGCTGGTCCCAAGCTCCCAACCTCTGGTGATCTGCCTGCCTCGGCCTCCCAAAGTGCTGGGATTACAGGCATGAGCCACCACACTTGGCCCCAAAGAAAACTTTTAAACTGCATATATTCAAAAGCAAATAGAGGAATTTGAGGTGTCTACAAATGAAGTATTAATTAGAATAGAACCCTGGAAGCAATTGCAATGGAGAAATAAACAATGCACTATAACAAACCATTTTTATAAAACCTGGGGTGACAATATCTAGAGTAGTAACAAATGTGAAAGTATAAAAAGGTTTCCAGGAAAGCATATCCCGCAACTTTAGAGACATGGAAGTACATACCAATTAACATTAAGAATATACATGTTAATTAAGAAAAGCAGAAAAATACAGGGAAGGGATATAAATACTCATTTCTATAATAAATTTACCTAGTAGAACATAATGCCTTAAAATGCTTCAGAATGCAAATCAAACCTAAAATGTTAAATAAGAAAAAATAAAACTAATTACAGCAATAAAATCCAATCCAGACTAGAATCAGAAAGACAAGATTCTTAGCAAGTTTACATGGCAAATAGTCAAGTACTTAATTATCCAAATAGTACTAACTCTTATTTATTTAAAAAATATATATATTATAAATGTATGAATCTTAAATATACAATATTCATAATGTATTAATGTAAAAATATTAGAACCATAACTCACTAACCACAAGTTAGGAATCATCAAGATCTCAATTATTTTTGTTCTCTTTTGACTTGTTTAAAATTTCCATTCCATGGAATCTCTTCTGTCTCCTGTTCTCTCATTTTCTCCTTCATTTATTGTCTGTGGAATAGGTGGTTTCTCCCAAGGCTAAACCCATTGCATTTATTTTAGGTGGCCATCTTTAGTGTTTCAGAGAAGCTTTAGCTATCCTTTCTAATGTCTTCTTCGAAGCAATCTCTACAATGGAAATCATCAATTAATTTTTTAAATTACTGAAGTTATGTAAATGATTGGCTCTTCCTTTTTGGTATTCTCTTACATTTCTAGTGCTCAGAAATCCCCTGCCACACACTAAAAAAGTGACCAAAAATGTTCATGGATTTGAATGTTCTTATTCCATTGCATTTTTAGGAACTTTTACCATTGTGTTGGTCACTTTAAAAAAGGTAATCTATAGGAGATCTCTGGAGGTTACTAGAGTCCAATAGAAACATAATTCTTACAACGAGTTACCTTAAAAGTTAAAGTAAAGCCACAGGCACAATCAGATTTGGATTAACCTTGGGGCTGAAAAACATGCAGCAGCATCTCTGCCAGCAGGGGTCTTCACTTCAGTTGCTTTTTCTGCTTTGAAAATACATGGAATGCTGATTTCTCAAGGAAGATGGTTGGCCATAACAATCAAACTGTAAGCAGAGTATAAAATGCTCCCCTACTAAAAACACTATTCAATCTGAGCTGTTAGTATAGCTTAGTTACCCTTTAATATTTCTTGAGCGAACCCAGTTTTTCATTTTTCAGTGGCCAGATTTTTCATTAATAATTTGAATAATTTTATTATTTTAAATTTTTGAATTTCTAAGAGGCTTTCTGAGAGTAATATAGATAGCAGGACCTCAAAATAATAGAGACATTGTCTAGTATTTAATTGTAAGCTGCAATTGGGTGCAGTCATTACAATGAGTGGCAAGTTCAGAGCGGTAGTCATGCAGCTACGGGTGTCTAATACACTAGACATATAGAAATGCTTAATATGAAATGGATTGATTTGTGGCAACATAGATGTTCACACAACAAGGTGTAGAACTAAAAGCAATTAAAGGTAGATGATCAAGAGGTTAAAAGCAGCTACTCCAACAAAAAGTCATGATTCTGTGCATATGTTCTGAACCTGAGCCAGTTTTCAGATGTGAAATATTTTGTCTGAAAAAGAAGACAGATTCCCATGAAAATGAATGCTGGGTTTCTATGGCAATAATGAGTTCCCAAGTCCTTTTTTAAATGGACCTATGGTCATTTACTCAATTACACAGAGAAGATGATATATGAAAATAAAGACCTCTTGATGCAGAGTTTGGGTTCACACTGATACCTGACGTCTGAGCACTCTGATGAGTCCCCTTTCAGAAGGAGCATGTGTTCAAAAGGTTTAAAAAAAAAAAAGAGAAGATTTCCTAGCCCAAGTCTGCTTCATAGATAGCCCACTTAGACTATAGGACAAATGCTATTATAAGGTGGAGGAGACGAAGAAAAGGCCCTAGAAAGTATTCTACCTTGGCCAAAAAAGTAAATAAAAAATTAATACTACATTCTTGGAAAGGTGGTAGAGATTAATACCATCCCTAGAAACTTAAAAGAGGGTTCCCATCTTTTTTCCCATTTATTTTTACCGCTTAGCTGTAAAAAAAAAAAAAAAAAAAAAAAGAAGTATATCTTGGAGTATTACAGTAGACGGTAGACTACTGGAAACTCAATGAAGTAGTAGCCCTAGTTGCAGCTGTTTGTCATGTGTTATCTTTGTTAAATTAACATTGCTTCAATCTTTTGCGTGTCCTTTCGTGAGCAGATATGTTCTTTTCCATCTCTATTAGAAATGAGGACCAGAAATAGCTTATACTCACATGGTTTGGTTAACAGTATATATACTTAGTTTTTCTGCAAGGATTTTGTTTAGAGTTTTTCTGCAAGGCTTTTGACTCCCCACATCCTCTGTCGCTATGTATTCTGGAGGAACTTGAACCACCTGGGCATTATACAGAACATCATACTATATTGTTATATCCTCCAGTATAACTACTCCATCATGTTATTTGGACTTAACAAACAATGTCAAGGACATTGGAGACTATGATAAGACACATATGCTCCAGAAGGTGGGAGATAAAAACCAAAAATACATTAGGTGCCCACCACATCAGCGAATGTTGTGGAGAATGATCTACAAAATATAGACGTATTGGGACAACCCATGGAAAGCACAAATTATTGCATTGTACATTTTCTGTCACTAGGAACAAAGCAAAATGACTCTTTGGGTTCGGAAGACAGCATGCTCTATCTACACTTGTAAGCCAATTTACCGATTAAGAAGAAACTCAGGTAGCTTTGATTTTTGGTCTAGAGTAGGAAATTTTTCTTATGCATTCCTAGGCTGCAGGGCCAAATTGGCAGAAATCTCATGAATTTTATGTCAATCTTCAATAAGAGAATATCAATCATATCTAGGATTTTGAAGTAAAGGCCTGTTACCTGGAACAGTTAATTGTACAGCATTGCAAAAACAGCTCCTTGTGTACTTCTGCACTCTGACAGCGATGAAGAACCTAGCCATGGGACATCAAGTAACCTTGCAGCCACAACTACCCAGAGTGAGCTGGGTCTTGTCATACCTACTAAATAGGAATATTGGGTGGCCCCTACAGTAATCTATCATAAAGCAGGCAGGGTACAAATGAGTTCAGGCACAAATAAGCCCAAATAACAGAAATATGTGATAAACTTTTTATTTTTGTGTGTGTTAAACATTCAGTTATCTTTTAAGGGATTTAAATAAAAAAATTTATATATTCCATCATTTATTAATAGTTATTATTCTCCATGTTCTTTATTTCTATGTGGAGATACAGATTTCCATATGATATCTTTTTCCTTCCACCCAAATCATTTTCTTTAAAATTTCTAGAGCTAATTTCTCATCATTGAGGCAATACTCTGTTTTATACTCTATGCACAACGAAAAGTGAGGTTTTTCAGTCAAACTCTGGAGGATAGCCACTATTCCTGGCCCTTTGAACGTCAAGCACTGGCATTTGGGTAGTTCTTTTCCTGCTGCCAGGCCGTTTCCTCACAGCATTTGCTGAACAGAACTCAGCTGAATACTTAAGGGGATCCTTTGCATATACCTGAATTTCTCTCTCACTGTGCAGCTTTCTCCTCCCTGTTTTGTAAGTAGCCGCCTTGGTCTCTGCACTCTCAGCTCAGTCTGCTCTATTCAGGCAGTCTGCCTGGTTGCCCATTCCTGCTCCATGGCCTGAAAACCATCACAAGGCAGTAAACTGAAGCAGTGGAAGGGTTATTCTCATGTGTTGCCTGCCTCTCAGGATAATTGCTCTTCGTTAGCTTATATACAATGTCATGAAACATTGCTTCACATATTTTGTATTTTTTTTTCAGGTGAGAGGGCAAATCCTGCCCGTTTTTCCATCCATCATAGCTGAAAGTAAAAGTACATATGCTAGAATTTTGAACTGAATTGCTTTTGCTTTTAAACTATAGAACAATTTATGAAGAATTCTTAAATTAACAATTAAAACTCTTCCTCATGATAGAAGTTGCTTTCTTTATTTTGTTTTTTTAACTTCTCTTTCATCAATGTTTATAATTTCCAGTATACAGATATCATATGGGATATTATATGCTATTATTGCATTAGTTAGGACTTCAAGTATGATGTTGAAAACCAGCAGTGAGGAACTTGATTTTTTTTTTTTTTTTTCTGAGAAGAAATAGAGAAGATCAAACTAGGGAAAGTGCTCAAAAGACAGTCTACTGGACACAACCTATGACATGTCTTATTTAATTCTACTTTCCTTGCTTCTTCATGCTAAAAAACAAAACAAAACAAGCAACGAAAACAGAAATAAGGATGTTTTTACTACTGTACGGCATTGCTTTTTTGCCTTTCAGGTTGCATGAAATACTTTAAGCACTGATTTACTCTTTATATTTGATATAGCAAGGTATTCCTGGTTGGCATCTTCTAACATCCTTTCGGACTTTTACTTCATTTAGTTGCATTTACACATTGTTTTGAGATAACCTCTGCTACTAGTTTTGTTGAGGATAGGCTTTGTGTTTTTGTTTGTTTTGTTCCTCATTCTTCTAGTGTTTATTCTGAGAAGAGAGAAAGTACTGATATTTATAATCCGGATTTTAAAACTGAAGTCAAAGTGAATATTACAAAATATTGAATTTTCTTCAACATCTAGTTTTTTCTTCCTTGTTCTTGTTAGGTAAGAATCAGAGAATAAATGCTTCCATTTTCCATACCAATTATGTTACCTGTATTTCCATTACACCTTTATTTATTGTGTAATAATCACAATATAATCAGTATATACTATGCTATCCACTACTTCAACCACAGTCTTCTCAATACTTTCAACTTCCTTAGGACACTGTCCTACCTTTTGCTTTGGCCTTATTATATCAATCCTTGGATGATTCAACTACTCTCACTCTGCATCCTCCTCACCACAGAACACTAAACATTCTTGAATTTGGACTGAAAGTAAGCTAGCATTTTACATCACAACGGATTTATTCAACATGTGCATCAATCCTTTGATATTTGCTTGGTCTTATCTGTCCTAGACCGAGTAGGAACAATGACAAACTTCAATACTTTTGTTTTAACCCTTTGGTGCTATTATTTCACCTGTCACTTTCGGCATCCAATCTTCTCTTTCTCTTTCCTCTCTCTCTCTCTCTCTCTCACACACACACACACACATAGCAGATTGTAGTTGAAATCCTACTATTCCATTAAAACTATAAACTCAATTGCATTTACATCCTCCCTCTTGTTAGGAAGGAATAAATGCGGCTTCTAATTTTATACCTTTGCCCATGTTCTGAATCATCACACCACACTGTTATGAACTAGGCTCTCAATTAAGTTTCCATTATTTTTAATGTGATTTCTCGTGTATATATTCATTTTTGATTTTAAGGAAATTCTCAAACATACACAAATTAGGGAGATTAGTACACTGAACTCCAGTATTTAATTTCTTAAGATATTTGCCATATTTTCTTTATCGTTTTTCTTTTTTTCTTAGCTGAATTTTTAATATAAATATCAGACATCATGTCATTAAATACTTATGCAGTCCTTCAGTATATATATCTAAAAATATGAATTTTCTACAAAGCTACAATAATATCATACTTAATAAAATTAATAATAATGTGGTTTCCTCTCTTATTTATGTTCAAATATCTTCCACTTTATTAAAAATGCCTTTTAGGCTATTTTTTTTTCCTCTTTAAGATCAAAACAAAGACTGCATATTGCAGTTGTTTGTTAGATCCCATACCTCCTTTTAACTGGGAGAGCTCTTTCTCTCCGCTATTTTGCTATTGAAAAGACGTGCTCCTTCAAAACGTATTTTCAAATCTGTATTAAATAAATATATTGTAGAGTATAATTTTAAATTTTTTTTATGACTTTAATTTTGGCTGGCAGTGACTTCTGTTATATGCGTATTGGATCTCCTTTGGCTGACTCCTATATCACTTTATCTTGAATACTTTTGTAGTGATTTTGATTCCTTTTGTTTTACTATTCCATCTGACATCATATACTTTTTATAGGTTGTATTCTGTGTTGTCGAGTTGCTGTTGTATACCTGCCAATTTAAGGGATTTTTTTTTCACTACTGTTTTCAGAGATTTGGTTAAGGGAAATTTTAACTGACTTGTGTCATGAATTTAGGATAATTATATGCCGACCTGATTATATATTAGAGATTTTTATATTCTGTTCCTTGAAATTATTCAAATGCAAAATAATATCATTTTTCTGTGACATTACATAGCAAAAATTTGCCAATTCTCTTGAAAGTTCTGCTATGTCACTTATTATCCTTACTAGACTGCAAATATTATGAGGAAAGGAACTGTGTCTGCTACATCTTTGTATACCAACACGCTCATGGCCCAATGTATTGAATTGAAAATTGTTTGTTAAATAAAGCTATAGTGGGTTAGTGAATAGCTTAAGAGTGACAATATTACTGTACATGCCCCAAATTTACTAAACAAATAACTTTATATAACAACAGTTTCAAAAGTTATTTATTTGAAATTTAGTACTTTACCATAGATTTGTATTATCTGTGGTCATTAGAGCCTCAGGTTAGTCAGCTCTCCTAGTTAAAAATCTCCAACGACATACAAGAAAGTACAAATTTATTAACCTGGCTTGTAAAGTTCTAAAGGATTTGGCCACAAACCACCTGTCTGATATCTTTTTATACTGCTCTCCCACTTGCTTATTACTTTTATTGCTCTGTTTGTTGAATCTGCCAAATTCTTTGCTGATGTAGCCAAATATACATTCTACTATATGGATTGTTCTTTCCTCTACTGCTATGTTACTAGACCTTTTTTGTCATTTTTTTTCATTTGTCACATCCTGAGGGAGAACTTCTTTAATCACTAAAGGAAAACCAACCACCAGGCCACTATGGCTCACATCTCCCTATATTAATCCTCTGCTTAACACTAATCATTTCCTGCAACTTGTCTGTTTGCTTATTTGATGTTTTCATTCACACATCCATTTTAATATGAAATGTTTGAAAGCAGAAACTTATCTTTGAGGTTCAATACTGACTGTAGCATAAGGAACAATTTTTAGATATGTAGTAGGTATGTAAAAGAAATTTCTTGAATGACTGATTTTTAAAATCTTGTTTGAGAAAATAGTATTCATGGAATCTTGATGAAAGGCTATTTAATCCATTAATTTCTCTGGATATTCATAATCTATCTCCAACCTAAGCAAATCCCTCAGTCAACTCCATGATCATAATTATACTGATGCTATATAGAAGTGCTTTAATTAAACCACACATTGCACTTTCCCTTTAGTTAAGAAATATAGTCCAGGCTCAGTGGCTCAAGCCTGTAATCCAAGCAATTTAGGGGGCCAAGTTGACTGGATCACTTGAGCCTAGGAGTTTGAGACCAGCCTGGGAAATATGGCAAAACCCTATCTCAACTGAAAGTATAAAAATTAGCTGGAGAGGATGGCACGTGCCTGAAGTCCCAGCTATTCAGGTAGTTGTGGTAGGAGGATAGCTTAAGCCCAGGAGGTTGAGGCTGCAGTGATCCATGATCATACCACTGCACTCCAGCCTGGACAGCACAGCAAGACCCTGTCTCAAAAGAAAAAAAGAAAAAAGTATATAGGAAGCCCTCCATATATGTGGGTTTCAAGTCTATGGATTTAATAAACCATGGATTGAAAATATTAGGGAGAAAAAAATGAAAGTTGCATCTGTACTGAACACGTACAGACAGATTTCTATAGCATTATTCTCTAAACAATACAGTACAACAACTTTTTACATTGTATTAGTTATTATAAGTAATCTAGAGATATTTTACAGTATACATGAGGATTCGCATAGGTTATATACACACACTACACTATTTTATACAAAGGACTTCAGCATCTGTGGGTTTTCGTATTTGCAGGGTTGTCTGAAACCAATCCCTCACAGATACTGAAAGGTGACTATATTATGAGAAATACTCCATGGAGTTTTATTTATTGAAAGGATGCGGTTGAGAATATAATTTACTGCATTGTACAATTTCTTTTTTATAGAGGCTCTGAGGATTTTTTCACCCTCATATTTTAATACCAAAAGTAGTTGTTTTCTCCAGGAAAAAAAAAATAGTTATAGTAACTGTTTGTATTAGGTGGGGTTCTCTAGAGGGACAGAACAAATAGGACATATGTATATATGAAAGGGAGTTTATTAAGGAGAAGTGATTTGCAAGGTAAAGTCCCATGATAGGCCATCTGCAAGTTGAGGAGCAAGGAAGCCAGTAGTGGATCAGTTTGAATTCCAAAACCTAAGAAGTAGGGAAGCCAACAGTGCAGCATTCAGTCTGTGGCCAAAGGCCCAAGAGCCACAGGCAAACCAGTAGTGTAAGTACAGGAGTCCAAAAGCCAAAGAATTTGGAGTCTGATGATGGAGGGTAGGAAGTATCCAGCACAGGAGAAAGAGGAAGACTAGAAGACTCAGTAAGTCTGCTCATTCCAGCTTCTTCTGCCTGCTTTTGCTACTCGTGCTGGCAGCTGAGGGGATAATGCCCACCAAGATTAAAGATGGGTCTACCTCTCCCAATCCACTGACTCAAATGTTAATCTCCTCTAGTAACATTCTTGCAGACACACCAAGAAAAAACACTTTTCATCCTTCATTGCAATCAAGTTGACACTTAACCATCACAAGTCTACCACTTGTCAACTTATACCCACATACATCTCCAAATAAAGACAATAATAAGGTCATAATTACATCTAACAATAAAGCTGTCCTTTGTACAACTGGAAGCACACTAATTTTTAACCTAAATGCTATTACATAAAGTTAACAACACTTAAATGCTGATATGGAGTCAATAAATCTTATGTCACATAATAAAGAGAAAGGAAAGGAAATAAAATGAAGATATTTTCTTAGTACAAGTGTATACATGCACAAACATACTGTTAATAAAATCAGGCGGAGGTATTTATGACATTCTTCATTTCTGCAACTGGTCAGGTGATCATAGTTGGCATTGATAACTACCTTCTTCTATTACCCATTCTGCATTCCCTTTACCTTCAGCAAACATCTCAGATGATCATGTTTTTTTACCTGGTGAATTGACTCAAACCTTATTCCTGAGGGGGCTGAACCATTTGCAGTCCTGCCTGGACTGGGTTGTTGTAGTTTCCCATTGACCTTAATCACGGGGCATGGTAATACTAAGAGACGCCCTGAGGGATCTCTTGTGTTTCACACATACACTTCCTTACCTCTACTGTGGAGTCATAGACTGATTTCATCTTGATAGTACAGGTCAATCACTCCAGACAACACTGTAACTCCCTTCTTGGCCTGTTGACTCAGAGGTAGGAGAAGCCCAAAGTGGCCAGGTGGCATCTTAACTTCCAGTTTACTGGAATTATTGTTGCGTCTCCTGGTGGCAGCATTCCTCGCTCTGGAACTAAGACCTCTAAACCAGGAGAACATAATGTCACAGGAACAGAAGCAAAAATTTTGTTGGTGGGGGCAGTCATTTGGGGTGATGGTGAGTGGTGCCATTTGTACTTCCACCCCTTGATTTCTGGACCCATGAATCCTAGCTATGGGAGAAACAGTACCATATATTGGGCACTGAATCAGAGTATACATGGCCTTCTGGAGAACTTTACCGCAGCCCTTCAAAGTATTGTCACCTAGTTGGTACTGTAATTGTGACTTCAAAAGCCCATTCCATCATTCTATCAATCCAGCTTCTTCAGGATGATGGGGAACGTTGATAAGACCAGTGAATTTCATTGGCATGAGTTCACTCCCTCACTTCTTTAGCCATAAAATGAGTGCCTTTTTCAGAGGCAATTCAGTGTGGAATATTATGATAGTGGATAAGGCATTCTGTGAGTCCACAGACGATAGTCTTGGCCGAAGAACTGCAATGCAGGATAGGCAAATCCATATCTGGAGTAAGTGTCTATTCCAGTGAGAACAAAGTGCTGCCCTTTTCATGATGGAAGAGGTCCAATATAGTCAACCTACCACCAAGTAGCTGGGTGATCACCCTGAGAAATGGTGCCATATCGAGTGCTCAGTGTTGATCTCTGCTGTTGGCAAATTGGGCACTCATTAGTAGCCTTAGCCAGGTCAGCCTTGGTGAGTGAAAGTCCATGTTGCTGAACCCATGCCTAACCTCCATCCCTGCCACCATGGCCACTTTTTTCATAGCCCCATTGTGTAATGACAGGAGTGGCTGGGAAAAGAGTCTGAGTGGTATCCACAGAATGAGACACCTTATCCACTTGATTATTAAAATCTTCCTCTGATGAGGTAACTCTTTGGTAAGCACTCTCTTTGGACCACTCAGAGAGATCCATCCACATACCTCTTCCTCAAATTTCTTTGACATTAATTTTCCAATCATGCTTCTTCCAAGTCCTTGAACTTCCAGCCAAACCATTGGCTACAGCCCATTAATATATAGTCACACCTCTGGCCATTTCTCCTTCCATGCAAAGTGCACAGCCAAGTGCACTGCTCAAAGTTCTGCCCACTGGAAGATTTCCCTTCACCACTGTCCTTCAGGGATGTCCTGGAAAAGGGCTATAGTGCTACAGCTGTCCACTTTTGGGTGGCACCTGCATATCATGCAGAACCACCTGTAAACCAGGCCCTAGTCTTCCCTTCCTCTGCCAAGTGTTTATAGGGCACTCCCCAGGAGGCCATCTGTATAGGCTAGGGGAGTGAATGCAGAGTGGCAAGAGTGGAGACCATGGGCATTTGAGCCACTTCCTCATGTAACTTACTTGTGCCTTCAGGACCTGCTCAAGCCTGTCACGTATATGCCACTTCCATTTAATGATGGAATGCTGTTGTGCATGCCCCACTTTATGGCTATATGGGTCAGAAAGCACCCAGTTCATGATAGGCAATTCAGGTCACATGGTGACTTGATGACCCATAGTCAAATGTTCAGTTTCTACCAAAGCCCAATAA
The DNA here is from genome assembly GCF_000001405.40 of Homo sapiens. NCBI lineage: Eukaryota > Metazoa > Chordata > Mammalia > Primates > Hominidae > Homo > Homo sapiens. The sequence goes on from NC_000004.12 coordinate 132,087,030, forward strand.
CAAACAGAGAGCTGTCTCTCAAAAGAAGAGTAGTTATCTGCAGAAGATGGCAGGGCCTTGTTCCAAAATCCTAGAGGCCTCCGCTGTGATTTACCAGTTGGGGCCTGCCAAAGGCTCCAAACAGCATCCCTATCTGCCACTGACACCTCAACCACCATTGGTTCTTGTATTAGTTCATTCTCACACTGCAAATAAAGACATACCCTAGGTGATTTATAAAGGAAAGTTTAATTGAATCACAGTTCATCAGGACTGGGAAGGTCTCAGGAAACTTGCAAGCATAGTAAAAGTGGAAGCAAACACATCCTTGTTCACATGGTGGCAGCAAGGAGAAGAATGAGTAAAAAGGAGAAAAGCCCCTTATAAAACCATCAGATCTCATGAGTTCTCACTCACTAACATGAGAACAGCATGAGGGTTACTGCCTTCCTGATTCAATTACCTCCCACCAGGTCCCTCCCATGACATGTGGGGATTATGGGAACTACAATTTAAGATGAGATTTGGGTGTGGGCACAGCAAAACAATATCAGATCTGCTGGGTCACATAGTCAAGGTAGTAGAGCACCTTGCATGGCAGCCTGGACCTCTTGTAGAGCCTTCTCCTGTTCTGGACCCAACGCAAAACTGGCAGCCTTTTGGGACACTCAATAAATGGGCTGGAGTAACACACCCAAATTAGGAATGTGTTGCCGCCAAAAACCAAATAGGCCCACTAGGGGTTGTGCTTTTTTTTTTTTTGGTTGTAGGAGGTGCCAAATGCAGTAACTTTTCCTTCACCTTAGAAGGAATGTCTCAACAGACCCCACACCACTAGAAATTTCACTTAGGTAGAATTTTAGTAAGATTTTTTTCCCATCCTCTAGCATGCAAATGTCTCAGCGATAAGTTTACTGTGTTTGCTACTTCTTGCTCACTGGGTCCAGTCAGCATAATGTTATCGATATGGTTTCGCTGTGTTCCCACCTAAATCTCATCTTGAATTGTAGTTCCCATAATCCCCACGTGTCGTGGGAGGGACCTGGCAGGGGGTAATTGAATCGTGGGGGTGGATATTCTTATGCTGTTCTTGTGATGTGAGTGAGCTCTCATTAGATCTGAGGGATTATAAGGGGCTTTCCCCCTTTTTACTCCTTCTTCTCCTTGCTGCCGCCATGTGAAAAAGGATGGTTGCCTTCCCTTTCACCATGATGGTAAGTTTCCTGAGGCCTCCTCAGCCATGATGAACTGTGAGTCAATTAAACCTTTTTCCTTTATAAAGTACCCAGTCTCACGTATGTCTTTATTAGCAGCATGAGAACAAACTAGTACAGTAAATTGGTCCACAGAGAGCGAGGTGCTGCTATAAAGATCCCTGAAAATGTGGAAGTGACTTTAGAACTGGGTAACAAGCAGAGACTGGAACAATTTGGAGGGCTCAGAAAAAGACAGGAAAACAGATGAAAGTTTGGAACTTCCTAGAGGCTTGGAGGGCTCAGAAGGCATGAAGATGTGAGAAAGTATGGAACTTCCTTGAGACTTGTTGAATGGCTTTGACCAAATTGTTGATAGTGATATGGACAATGAAGTCCAGGCTGAGGAAGTCTCAGAGGGAGAAGGGGAAATTGTTGAGAACTGGAGTTAAGGTCACTCATGCTATGCAAAGAGACTGGTAGCATTTGGTCCCCGTCCCAGAGATTTGAGGAAATTTGCTCTTCAGAGAGATGATTTAGGGTATCTGGTGAAATAAATTTCTAAGCAGAAAAGCATTCAAGAAGAAGCAGGGCATAAAAGTTTGGAAAATTTGCAGCCTGACAATGTGATAGGAAAGAAAACCTCATTTTCTGGGTAGAAATCCAAGCCCACTGCAGAAATTTCATAATTAACAAAGAGTTGGATCTTAATCACCAAGACAATGGGGAAAATATCTCCAGGGAATGTCAGAGACCTTTGTGGCAACCCCTCCCATCAGCGGCCCAGAGTCCTAGGAGGGAAAAATAGTTTGCTGGGCCAGATCCAGTGCCCCCCTGCTGTGTGCAGACTTGGGACATGGTGCTCTTTGTCCCAGCTGCTCCAGCCATGGCTAAAAGGGGCTAAGGTACAACTCAGGCCATTGCTTCAGAGGGTACAAGCCCCAAGCCTTGGCAGCTTACACGTGATGTTGGGCCTGTAGGTGCACCAAAGCCAAGAATTAAGGTTTGGGAATCTCCGCCTACATTTAGAAGGATGTATGGAAACACCTGGGTGTCCAGTCAGAAGTTTGCTGCAGGTGCAGAGCCTTCATGGATAACCTCTGCTAGGATAGTAAGGAAGGGAAATGTGGGGTTGGAGCCCCTACACAGAGTCCCCACTGGGGAACTGCCTAGTGGAGTTGTGAAAAGAGGGCCACTGTCCTTCAGACCCCAAAATTGTAGATCCACTGACAGCTTGCCCCTGGAAAAGCCACAGAGACTCAACATTAGTCCATGAAAGCAGCCAGGAAGGGGGATGTACTCTGCAAAGCCACAGAGGTGGAGCTGCCCAAGGCCCTGGAAGCCCACCTCTTGCATCAGTGTGACCTGGATATGAGACATGGAGTCAAAGAGGATTATTTTGGAACTTCAAGGTTTAATTACTTCCCTTTTGGATTTTGGACTTGCGTGGGGCCTGCAGCCCCTTTGTTTTATCCAATTTCTACCATTTGAAGTGGGTGTATTTATCCAATGCCTGTGCCCTCATGGTATCTCAGAAGTAACTAAATTGCTTTTGATTTTATAGACTCATAGGCAGAAGGGACTTGCCTCGTCTCAGATGAGATCTTGAACTTGGACTTGGACATTTAGGTTAAAGCTGGAATGAGTTAACACTTTGGGGGACTGTTGGAGAGGCATGATTGTGTTTTGAAATGTGAGGACATAAGATTTGGGAGCAGCCAAGGAACTGAATAATATGGTTTATCTGTGTCCCTACCAAATTTCATCTTAAATTGAAATTCCCATAATCCCATGTTTCATGGGAGGGACCCAGTAGGGGGGTAATTGAATCATGGGGGCAGTTACCCTCATGCTGTTCTCATGATAGTGAGTAAGTTCTCATGAGATCTGATGGTTTTATAAGGAGCTTTTCCCCTTTTACTCAGCACTTCTTCCTGCCACCATGTGAAGAAGGACATGTTTGCTTCTCCTTCCACAATAATTGTAAGTTTGCCTCCCCAGCCATGCTGAGCTGTGAGTCAATTAAACCTCTTTCCTATATAAATTACTCAGTTTTGGGTATGTTTGTATTGGCAGCATGAGAAGGGACTAATATTGTTATCAATGTAATGGACAAGTGTGATATCTTGTGGAAGAGAAAAGCAATCAAGGTCTCTTCGAATACAATTATGACACAAAGCTGGAGAGGTCATATACCCGTGAGGTAGTGTAACCGGGGGGTCCTTGCTCCCAGAGCTCCCAAGATGGTGGTGGCCACTTCCAAGATGGTGGTAAGCCTCATATTCTCTGACCTGGGGTTCTTCGCCTCACAGATTCCAAGGAATGGAATCTTGGGCCATGTGGTGAGTGTTATAGCTCTATTAGAAGCCGTGGATCATAGAAGAGAACTGTGGAACCCAGTGACTAGTGTTCAGCTCAATTAGGAGGAACCCAGGCACTTAGCCAATCAGGAACAATGGCAACAAGCCTTTAGCCCTATCGGGAGTGGCAATGGGTGCCTCGCTGGATGAGGAGCACAGCAGACACACTGCCGGATCCAGAGGGATGGAAGTCAGAGGCGAGTCTGCGATGGCAGCAAACAGCAGTGATGGATGGCGAGCAAAAGCTCAGCTTGAGCCGTAACAAACACAGACCAGAAGAGTGCAGTTGCAAGATTTAATAAAGTGAAAACGGAGCTCCCATACAAAGGGACGGGACCCAAAGAGGGTAGCCATTGCTGGCTCGAATGCCTTGGTTTATATCCCTATCATTGTCCCTCCTGCTGTGCTCTCAGGCAATAGATGATTGGTTATTTCTTTATCTCCTGTTTTTGCCTAATTAGATTTTTAGTGAGCTCTCTTTACTGATTGGTCGGGTGTGAGCTAAGTTGCAAGCCCCGTGTTTAAAGGTAGATGCTGTCACCTTCCCAGCTAGGCTTAGGGATTCTTAGTCGGCCTAGGAAATCCAGCTAGTCCTGTCTCTCAGTAGGACAGTGAAGGTATATTGCTGGCCTTACCAGCTGAAGGCAAATTGCTTCTGGTGGGCCTTTTGGACAGGAATTGAGAAAAAGCCATTTGCCAAATCAATGGCTGCATACCAGGTACCAGGAGATGTGTTAATTTGCTCAAGCAATGAAACCATATCTGGTACAGCAGCTGCAATTGGAGTCACCACTTTGTTAGGCTTATAATAATCCGCTGTCATTCTCCAAAATCCATCTGTCTTCTGCACAGGCCACATAGGAGAGTTTAATAAGGATGTAGTGGGAATCAGCACCCCTGTGTCCTTCAAGTCCTTGATGGTTGCACTAATCTCTGCAATGCCTCCAGGGATGTGATATTATTTTCGATTCATGATATTTCTATGTAGAGGCAGTGCTAATGGTTTCTATTTGGCCTTTCCCGCCATTATAGCCATCATTCTACCAGTTAGGGAGCCAATGTGGGGGCTCTGTCAGCTGCTAAGTATGTCTACGCCAATTATGGATTCTGGCACTGGGGAAATGACCACAGAATGAGTCTGGGGACACACTAGACCCACTGTTAAGTCAGTCCTGAGCTAAAACTCCATTAATTACTTGACCTCCATGAACTCCTACTTTAAGTGGATGACCACAATGACATTTTGTGTCCCCTGGAATCAATGTCAGCTCAGAGCCAGTGTCCAGTAGTCCCTGAAAGGTCTGATCATTTCCCTTTCCCCAATGCACAGTTACCCTGGTAAAAGGCCAGAGGTCTCTTTGGGGAAGGATGGGAGAAATATTAACAATAAATTGTAGGCAGTATAGTGTGGTCGTTCCTCAAGGGGACCTGGCCATCCCTTCATTCAAGGGGTTCTGGTTTTGTAAACTGGTTCAAGTCTGGAAATTATTGAGGAGCTATGACTCTCTATTTTTATAATTCAAATTAGTCTTTTGTCCAAAGACCTGGAAGTTTTCTGATTATATAAATTGAGTAAGAATGCAGTAGACTTTCTATCAAGTAACACTGTGATTAATTAGCCAATGCCAGAGCTCTACACGAGTCAAACTATTCTGATTACTGCTTTGCCTTTGCTGTTTACCATAGTAACTATGCCCACCTTGCCTTTGACGATCGAGTGCTGCCACTAGGCCTCTGCCAACTTGGGATCTAACTATTCCCGTTGCATTTAAATTTTGTGATTGAGTGACTGTGGTTCCCACTGTAAGATCTGGCATACAGAGAACAGCAATCACAGAACCCTTTAAGGATGCATGTGCTACCCTCATAAATCTATTTTTCAAGGTATTGGTGAAACATATGCCTTCTGGACCTTCCCAGTTGGGATGAGTAGGTCTAAAGTGACTAAGCCTCTCCACCATCCCAGTGTCCCTAAGCCTTTCGATTCCTTCCTCTACATTAAACCAAGGGAGATCAGGCATTTTGAGCTCACTCACAGTGGGTCATCTTTTGATCCATATTGTAGCTAACCAAGCAAATGAACTATTAAAAGATTTGTTAAGTCCCTGAGCTACAGTATTAAGTACAGAATCCCTGCTAAGTGGGTCCATATCAATTAATTCAACCTGATTTAACTTTATGTTCCTTCCACTATTACCCCACACCCTTAATATCCATTTCCATACCTGTTCTCTAGATTTCTGCTTACATAAATTTGAAAACTCAAACAGTTCTTTTAGAGTGTAGTGCTTCTCCTCATGAGTCACACTCTGACCCTCACCTCTAGGGGCCTGCCAAAACTTGAGTCTAGTTATAGGTCTAGAAGCAAACAGTGGTGTTGGGGGTGGATTCTGAAGAGAATCAGCATTGTCTTGCATGGCAACTGCCTCAAGAGAGGCCATCTCTGTTGCCTCAAGCAGTGCATAGTTAATCTCCTCACACAAAAATGGAAAGGCCAATGGCAATGGCAGCGTGGTGGGAGAGGGGATGTTGCCACCATTGGGGGTGGGGAGTCTGTTTCCTCTGACAAAAAAGCCTCATCAGAATTTAAGAGCTTAGTGCCCCCGGCTTCATTAGGGTCCTCCCACACATCCCCATTCCAAGATTCAGGGTCCCATTCTTTTCCAATCAATGCCCTCAGTTTAACAGTAGACACCGGTGAGGCTGTGTCTGCACCTTTCATTGCAGGCCAGCCACTCACATAATAAGAGCTTGTGTCTGATTTTTCACAATTTCAGCTCTTTCTCTACACGAGATAAGACTTTCACTTGGGCCATCTTAGAATATTTGAGGCTCAGTGTGTGCTTCTGGAGCCAAGAGTTAGAATCGCTGAGTTTATCGTTTTCTTCCATCACTTTTTCCAGTGAACTTAGGAGCAACTAGCCAACTTCATTATATTCCTTGGTTCTTCATATATGGTCAAAGATATTATGTATAGAGTCACTAAACTCCTTGCCTTTCAAGAGCAGTCAATCAGGAGTATCACGTGCATTTATTTGGCAAAACTTTCTCAACCATTCACATCAAGGACTATCAGTGTTCTCCATACCATTAATAGAGTTCTTAGCATTTTGGGGCCTAACCAGATTGAGCAACCAACTCCAAAAAGCCCAAAACCAACTAAAGAAATCCATCCTTAAAATTCTGTTCCTCTAGAATCACTCTCAGTACAAAAATCTGTATTATTCAGGGTTTTCTAGAGGGACAGAACAAATAGGTCATATGTATATATGAAAGGGAGTTTTTTAAGGAGAAGTCACTCACACAATCACAAGGGAGAGTCCCACGATAGACTGTCTGCAAACTCAGAAGCAAAGAAGCCTGTTGTGGATAAGTCCAAGTCCCAAAACCTCCAAAGTAGGGAAGCCAACCATGCATTCTTCAATCTGTGGCCAAAGGCCAGAGAGCCCATGGCAAACGACTAGTGTGAGTCCAAGAGTCCAAAAGCCGAAGAAGCCTGATAATGGAGGGTGGGAAGTATCTAGCACGGGAGAAAGGTGAAGGCCAGAAGACTCAGCAAGTCTGCTCATTCCACCTTCTTCTGCTTGTTTTCTCTAGCCATGCTGGTAGTTGAGAGGATGGTGTTCACCCAGATTAATGGTGGGCCTGCCTCTCCCAGTTCACTGACTCAAATGTTAATCTACTCTAGCAACGCTCTCACAGACACACCCAGAAACAATACTTTGCATTCTTCAATCCAAACAAGTTGACAATATTAACCATCACATTATTTATCACATAATATTTTTCTCAGAATATGATATCTAAAATCATAATTCTAAAGCATCAAGTGTGTATTATGTATATTTTTTGTAAAATAATCTTACTGCTTGGTAATTCCTTTTTATCTTTTCCAGTTATTTTAAAAAATATTTTCAACGATTTTAATGAAATCTTCCAAATATCCTGTTTCAGGATAGTCCATGTACATATTTTAACAATGCTGAGGACACAATTAACTTGAATATATGCATGGCCCTGGTCATGTGCCTATTTAAAGTAAGTGTAAGTAGCATTGAAATAAAAAAAAAATAGATAACATAAGGGTGAACAGATATTTTTAGTATATGTAGTACTTAAATTAGTTGAAATTGTCATGTGTTACTTATCTTAAAATACTGCAATATTACATTGTTATTTTTCCATTATAACTCTGAATATTTTGCTTCTATTGTCAAGGTAAGCAAAATCATAATCGCTACCAGGTTGACAGATTGCACATTAGCCTGTAGAGGAAATTTAAGTTTCTTTCAGTTATGAAATTTAGAAATTCTATTATCACTCTGTTAGTTTATATACTTAATTTAAAGACAGTTAAGACTTTATATATGTTATAATAATGCCATTTTAAATTCAGCAATTTTACTAGAAAAAAATATCATTATTAACAGACCTACTAAGGCATGCTCTTGCCTTTCATTAACAACAACACAAATGGTGTTTTAAAATGACCTTCTACAATTGAGGCAATATCTGATCATAAATATTTTAGAACTCATGAATAATGGTATATTGTTCATTTATTTGCTTTCTAAAAGCATCCATGAGGTTTACTTCTAATCAGTCTTTCATCAGAACAGTTCTATTCACTTAATAAAATCACTTAAAATTATCAAATTTTGGATGTAAAATGGGAATATTTTGTAAAAAATCTGTATCTAAAAATCCTTATTTTTTATGGCCCTTTGGTTTACTATTATGTTATGTATATCACATTTACTTTGAGAATAACGATGAACTGTCTCTTACACATATTTAACCTCTGTGGCTAACAAATTGTACCACTCAATCTTAGAAAAACAGTGATTTCAAGGGATTACGCTATACTCCACATACAAAATAGGATTTCTCATAAGGATGATTTTCTAGGGTGTGTTTTAAAAGAATAAAACAAATAAACCAGAAAACACAACATTTTCCTTCTGTGGTCATGTGGTTATTCAAGAAGTCAATAAAAACAAATATTAAATTTGTCTCTCTTGTGAATTGCAGTATGTCATTTCTATCACAGCCCTTGAAATGTTTGCTAAAGTGCCCAGTATTTTCTTAAATGAAGAATATTAAAAATACAAATGTAAGATATTGTCTTTAAAGACAATCTTCTCTCACATAATTCTAAGTGTCTAAACTAGATTGGGCTTTAGTTCATGAATGGACAAAATTTTATGTTTTGCCTGGTATACCACTTGGTAGGTATAAATGAAGATGTGAAGTTTATTATCATTGTTGTTCACATAAATTGTGTGTAATTTACATGTTTTTTTTTTTCTTTGTAGCTATCAGCTAGTCCTTGAAAATAAGAAGCTGAGTTGTTCTGATTATGAGCTGCCAGGCTATTTGATTTCTTTTCAGTAATTTCAAAATTGATGTTTAACTTCCTATGAAGCAATCTTCAAAATTTGTTCTCTATTAATCCACATACTTTAAACTTTTAAAATTGGTTTGAATATTTTCAGCACTGATTTTCTTATAAAAAATTTTCTGGTTTTATTATTACAATGAGAGCAACAGATTTTTAATGTCACGGCCTTTTCTCACTTCCTTAGGAAGCTACCAAATATGGGCTTTACTAAAATGTTTTAGAAACTAAGTTTTTACAACATGAGGACTATAGTTAATAATGGTGTATTACATTCAGAATTTTTGCAAAATGAATAGATTAAGGCTTCTCCTCCCACAGGGGCAATAATAGGTAATTATGTGAGATGATGTGTACGTTACTCTGCTCCACTGTGGTAACCATTTTACTCTATGCAATATACACGTATCTTAGACCATTATGTTATATACCTTAAATACATACAATAAAATCTATTTTTTAAAAACATTAAAAACTTTTCATTTATATTTTATTCTGACAAATACACTTCCTTGATCCTTTGCCTGAGTTGTATCTTTAACCTGATAACTGTCTGTTATTTCAGTAATCAAAGTATAGCATCCACGACTTTAAATAAACTCATGTAATTTAATAATATCACTTAACATATGCATATGTGTGCAGCTCCTGAAAATTTCTTCCCATTGTTCGTAACCAAATTACATAGCAGAATTTGCAACATTAAGAGGCAATGTTCTCCACTAAGATAAGTCCTGTTAAAATTTCACCTTGCTAAGAAAATGACAAAATAGGTTGCAATTTTAAGCCTATCAATGCTACCTTCTTCCATTGCATAAATTGCTTACTTTATTTTCCAGAATTTAAAGTATTTAAAGATGAGTGTAATGTGTACTTTGTTCTCTCTTTAGTTTAAATGGGTGAAATTATTTTATTCCAAACAAGTAGGCCTAAAACTGAAATTCTTAATTTAGAGTTCTAAGTCAGAGGTCTTTGAAACTGGAGTACATCTTTATTGTTATCATCTCCAATGGAAATTTATTATTTATTTTAACTAGAGTATACACATTTGAATTAGCTAGCTATTTTTGCATAGCAATTATGCTATAATTTGGCATCTGAAACAATAAACATTTATTATCTTTGGTGTCTTTTAGTCATGAATCTAGGCTAGGCATCTCAGCTGAGTGTTTTAGATGCAGGTCTGAGCCAGGACTTGAATTATGTCAAGGCTTAATGCCAGGAGTATCTCCTTCCAAACTCATCCACTTGTCTATAGCAAGCCTCAGAAAGTCTACTTCCAAGATCATGACTTGAGTATCTGCCCAGTGCTGCTTCTTGACAAGGCATCTGGCTTTTCCCAGAGGAAATAATCCAAAAGAGAGCAAGAGAACATGTCAAAACAGTGAGAGAGAAACTAAGACAGAAGCTACAGCCTTTTTATAACCTATCAAAGAAAAGATATTTCAGCACATTGGTGGTACTCTATTTGTTAGAAGCAAGTTACTCAATTCAACTCTCACTCAAGGGGCATTATACAAAGATGTGAATAACAGGAGATGAAATCATGGCTCAGAGGTACATTTTAGAGGCTACCTTCTGTGGCAATAAGTCATGGTAACTTTAACTGCATCTCTGCCTTTGTTAACAATAGAAATAAGATATATTTTTAGTTCACATTATAATTATTGGAAAGTCTCAACACATTGTTTATATTTATCAGAACCGTAAAATTATGACATCTAGAACTCATTATGTAACATTTTAATACTTTAATAAATAAATATAAAAATGTAAAACTATTACTATGTGAAAACTTGTTCAATATTTCAATAATTGTATTTTAATATTACTGGTCTTCATGAATCTTATATACTTAAATTTATTCTTTTACATTTATTATTTTAAGAAGGGTTTCAAAGGCTTTGTCTGATACAAAAAGACTATAGTACATTAGAGACCACTCGTTTAAAGAAAATCAAGTAATAGATTAAACATTCACTCATGTTCAATGGTATAAGCAAAGAAGTAAGGGCACAAATCTCCCAACTCCATCAGCTAACATCCACCTCAAGCCAGATAATAAAAGCAATAGGAGGATTCCCAGGCAAAGAGAAACACATTAAACTAGAATGAAAATAAAAACATGATCCAACAATTTTACTACTTTCTAGATTTTTAGGGTTTGGCAATCTGGTAGCTTAATTATGTACACAAAACTAATTAATACGTACTTGAGCATTGATCATTATTTTATATTTTAAAGATGTCAATTTATTTTAATATTTCTTTAAGAATAGAGGCATACAGGGTAATAAAAATAAAATTTGAAACTATAACTTATGTATCACAAAACTGCCTCCCCTCCCTGGACATATCCACTACTAATAACTGATCCATGTCCTTTGTAGGTCCTCACACACAATTATATTATAGTGTTGTTTTTTTTTCTTTTTCTTTTTTTTTTTTTACATCCACAGGACCAAATGATAAATACTTTGATAATCCCTTCCTGATAAAAAAAAAAAAATCATGAAAATCATTTCAGATCAGTGTTTTAATTTTTCAATTGATTTGATTTGAGAGAATGTCATGGTAAGAATAGTCTGTTTTTGATATTACATTATTTGGGGGAATGCTGTGGCAGGAATGCTACAATATTGATACATCATTTATTAATATTTATCTCATTCATGAGTATTTAGGTTTTACATTTTCCCTATTATGATAAATAATATAGAAAGTATCCTCATCCACCTAACTTTGTGTATGTGAGAAATTATTTCTGTAGGATTGATGGATTGATTACTAGCAGTAGAATTGCAGGGGTACACAATTTGAAAATGTTGTTATAATTGCAAATATGCCTTCCAAAAATGTATGGCCAACTTACATTTCTATCCCCTGTGTATAAAAACACCGTATTCACTGCTCACTTTAATGGTATAAAGTAATTTTTGTCTTCTGATTTATATAAAACTATGTCTCATTATGTCATTTGTATTCATGGGTGTGTGTGTATATATACATATATATATATGTATATATACACACACATATATATATATACACATATATGTGTGTATATATATATATATTTTGTCCAAATCTGCCATTTGTCTCTTACCTTTATTACAAACACATTTGTTCCATACAGATGCTTTTCTTTTTTACTTTACATAATCTAAGAAATTTTGTACATAGAAAAAATTTTCACAAAATATTATAGTATGTATTTTCTATATTGTTTTATAATAGTTTTATAATAGTTCAAGACAACTATTTCTTAAACCAGTCTGGAAATGATATTGTATACAGTGTGAAGTATGAATATTGGTTTCCGTCTTTGCCAAAATATTATCCAAATATGCTAATATTGTTTATTGAATAGTGTCTCCATTCCCATTGATTTAATATGCAATATATAACTTAACGTGTATTTTGTAATGTTTCATTATAATCTGTAATTGGACATGAATGTATATGTTTATAATATAATTTAGCATTTGATAGGATCAGCACAGAGGTAATTTTTTTCAAATTTCTTTAATTGTACTTGCATAATTTCTCTTCCAGATAAACTTTTAAAAACAGATTGTGATAGTCCATACAAAATTATTTTAATTTATGTTTTAAATGATTTTCATTTCTATATTAATATGGTGAGAATTAGTGTTTTTGCATTGATGACCACTAAACATATCTAAATCTATTTGGGGTTTCTTGATCCTTCAGCAAATTTTTTATGTGTTTTCATGTAGCCCTAACAAATTACATGGTAATTTTTAGTTATGATTGGGATATTTTTACTATGATATCTCTAGTTGATCATTACTAGTTAATAATATGATTTTTAAAACAATTGGTGTTACATGTAGCTCACACTGCCCAATGCTTATTGTGAGACACTTCTAAATGCATGTATTAAACAGCTACAGCTTTTTTTTTTTTTTTTTTGAGACAGAGTCTCACTATGTCACCTAAGCTGGAGTGCAGTGGCATGATCTCGGCTCACTGCAACCTCTGCCTTCTGGGTTCAAGCGATCCTCCTGCCTCAGCCTCCCAAGAATCTGGGACTACAGGTGCATGCCACCAAGCCCGGCTAATTATTTGTATTTTTAGTAGAGACGGGATTTCACTGTGTTAGCCAGGATGGTCTCGATCTCCTGAACTCGTGATCCACCCGCCTCGGCCTCCCAAAGTGCTGGGATTGCAGGAGTGAGCCACCGCACTCGGCCAGCTACAGCCTTTGTTTATAGTGTTTTAAAATTAAAACATGTAGCTGACTTCTATTAGTATTTCTTCTAATAGTCTTTCATCATTAAACTGCATGTTACACATTAAAAAATTTGAAGGCAGAAAAAAAAATTATGGTTTAATATTTTCTGGCTTAAAATATTGTCATGTTTCATAAATCATGCAGAACTAAAATGTGCAAATAACATATTTTACCATTTATAATATAAAGCTTTTTGTATGCTTTACAAATAAAGCTTGTTATTGAAATCATATAGAGGGCTAAGTAGATTTTTTAAACTTAATTTTAACAACTATTTAAAAGATAAAAAATGCCTTTGAAAGAGCCAAGATGGCCAACTAGATGCAGCCAGGAGGAACTTTTCCCATTAAGAAAGACCAGACCATCAAGTAGAGCAGCAGACTACCCAGATTTTCTGAAAGAAGGCATTGAGAGTCGATAGATGTAGGTCGCAGGCCACAGGACTGAAAGGGAAACAGTCTGGACACCTTGCATGGGATTGCTGAGGATCAGAATGTGTTCCTGGATTTAAGTGGCTCCTATGAAAAGGGTGAGAGAAATAGGCCTGGAGTGGTCTACCCTCACCGAGGACCTCCACGATCTGGGCTGTGGGAGACCCCATGACCCCTACGGACATTTTAGTTAGCAGGAAGAACTGCTTGGAGAGTTGGCAGAGCTAGAACTCCAGTCTGTACAGAGTCCACAGGGTTTGGTATGGAAGTGGCTGCAGTGGACCACAGCCATGAGTGACCATCCCCCAAGCCTTGTTTTGTTTATTTTCGGTAGTTTAGCCTTTGTTAGCTGCTGCACCTGGGCAGAGTAGGGCTGCCTTGCTAGTGGGACAGAGCCCGTGTAATCTGAATGCACCCCTGTCTGTGGGTCCCTAACTGGTCACACCCACTTGCAACACAGCTTCAGCTGCCTTACAGAATGATTACCGTTGGCCACACTCATAGATCTTTCACCAGCAGTTCCCACCTTCCCATCAGAGCACTTTTGCAGACAGACTCCTGCCAGTACACACCCAATCAGAGCCTCCCCCGTCTACTACCCTGCCACATACACACACCCACATCCCTCCCCCAGCATCCCCCAGGGCCCCCACCTGAACATTTTGCTGGCAGCCTCCATGGGAGTGTTATTGCCAGCAGATTGGTAACACCTCAGCTCCCCAAGTACAGCAGGTATTTGACCTCAAGAGGCCAGAGAAGAAAGCCATGGGCCTAATCCCAGCACACCAGAGAAAGAGCACACAGTTCAGGAGTGTTGAGATGAGCCTTGGTCCCCTGGAAGCATTTAGAAATAAAGTCAATTGACTAAACCCAACTTATGCCACAGTCAAACCCTCAAGGGCATCACAAAATATAAAAGCAAAAAGCCCTATTCAAAAGACAACAACTCCAAAGATTAAAGAAACATCAATTCACACAGATGAGAAAGAGTCAATGTAAGAATTCTGACAACTCTAAAAGCCAGATGACTACATTCTTAACTCCAAGTGACTACACTAACTCCCCAGGAATGCTTCCTAACTGACTGAAATAGCTGAAATGACAGACACAGAACTTAGAAACTGGATGGCAAGGAACCTCAATGAAATACAGGAGAAACTTGAAGCCCAATCGAAGGAAACAAAATGATGACAAAAATTTTAAAAAAATTTCAAAAAATGAGCAAAATCACTAAGAATTGGCATTGTTTGAAGAGACCAAACCTGTGATTCACTGGCATTCCTGAAAGAAATGGAAAGTGAGCAAACAACTTAGAAAACATATTTGAGAACACTGTCCATAAAAATTTTCCCAACTTTGCCAGAAAGGTTGACATGCAAACTCAGGAAATTCAGAGAATCCCTGCAAGATACTATTCAAGATGACCATCCCCAAGATACATGGTCATCAGATTCTCCAATGTCAGTATGAAAAGAAAAAAAGTCTTAAAGGGAGCTAGGGCAAGTCATATGCAAGGGGAACTCTATTAAACTAACAGTGAACCTCTCAGCAGAAACCTTATAAGCCAGAAAAGATTTAGGGCCTATATTCAGCAATCTTAAAAAATGAATTCCAACTAAGAATTTCATATCCAGCCAAACCAAACTTTATAAACAGAGAAATAAACACTTTTTGGATAAACAGATGCAAAAATGCAAAGGGAATTTGTTATCACAAGACCTTGCTTATAAGACATCCTTAAGGGAGTGCTAAACATGGAAATGAAAGACCAATACCTGCCACCACAAAAACACACTTACATACATAGCCTACTGACACTACAAAACAACTATACAATGAAGTCTGCAAAATAACTAGCTAGCAATATGATGACAGGGTCAAATCCACACGTCAATATTGACCTTGAATGTAAATGAGCTAAACACTCCACTGGAAAGGCAGAGTGGCAAGTTGGATAAAAAATTGTGTGTTGCCTTGAGACACCCATCGCAGATGCAATGACTCCCAGAGGCTCAAAGTATAGAGTTGGAAAAAAATATATTAGGCAAACAAAAAACAGAAAAGAGTAGAGGTTGCTATCCTTATATCAGACCAAACTAACTTTAAACCAACAAAGATAAAATTGTACTAAGAGAGACAGCCATGGTGGCTCACACCTGTAATCCCAGCACTTTAGGAGGGTGAGATGAGTGAATCTTTTAAGCCCAGCAATTCGAGACCAATCTGGACAACATGGCAAAACTTCATCTTTACAAAAAATACAAAAATTAGCTGCTCATGGTGGTGTGTGCCTATAGTCCCAGCTATTCAAAAAGCTGAGGTGTGGGGATTGATTGAGCCCAGGAAGTAGAGGCTGCAGTGAACCATGATCAGGCCACTGCCCTTCAGCCTAATCAACAGAGCAGGACAAAAAAAAAAAAAAAAAGAGAGATGAGATGGGGAGAACAAAGAAGGGCACTACATAATAATAAAGGGTTCAGAAAACTTAACTCTCCTAAATACATATGCACCCAATATTGGAGCACTCAGACTCATAAAACAAATTCTTAGAAACTTACAAGGAGACTCAGATAGCCACACAATGACAGCGGGAGACTTAAAGATTCCCTGACAGTGTTAAACAGATCATCAAAGCAAAACACTAGCAAAGATGTTCAGGACCTGAACTTGACACTACCAAATAGACCTAACAGACACCTAGAGAATACCCTACCCAACAAGAGAATACCCAACAAGAGAATAAACATTTTTCTCATCTGCACATGGCACATACTCTGAGATTAAACACACACTCAGCCATAAAGCAGATCTCACCAAATTCAAAACAATGGAACTTGTGTCAACCACACTTTCAGACCAGATCACAATAAAAATATAAGCCAATACCAAGGAGGCGCTCTCAAAACCATACAATTACATTAAAATTAAATAACTTGCTCCTGAATTTCTTTTAGGTAAAGAATGAAATAAAAGCAGAAATAAAAAAAAATGTTTGAAACAAATGAAAACATAGATATATCAGAATTTCCGGGACACTGCTAAAACAGTGTTAAAGGAAAGTTTATAGTGCTAAACACCTACATCAGAAAGTTAGAAAGGTCTCAAACTAACAACCTAACATCATACCTAGAGGAACTAGAAAAATAGGGCAAACAAATCCCAAAGCTATCAGAAGAAAAAAAAATAACCATAATCAAACCTGATCTGAAAAAAATTGAGTACAAAAATCCATATAAAAGATAATGAAACCAACAAGTTCCCTCTTAGAAAGAATATATAAGACTGATAGACTGCTAAACAATATTATTAAGGAAGAAAAGGAAGATCCACACAAGCAAAACCAGAAATGACAAAAGTGACATTTCCATTGACCCCACAGAAATACAAAATATCATCACAGGCTATTACAAACACATCTATGCACACAAACTAGAAAACCTAGAAGAAATGGATACATTTCTGTAAACATACAACCTCTCAAGATAGAAACAAGGAGAAATTGAAATCTTGAAGGGAGCAGTAACAATTTCCAAAATTTAATCAGTAATAAAAAACCTACCAAGCAGAAAAAGCTCTGGACCAGACAGAACCACAGTTAAATTCTACCAGACATACAAAGGATTGCTGGTACCATTTGTACTAAAATGATTCCAAACAATAAAGGAGGAACCCATTATATGAAGCCAGCGTCATTCTGATACCAAAACCTGGCAGAGATACAGAAAAAAAGAAAACTTCAGGCCAATATCTCATATAATTTAGATCTGTGTCCTCAACTAAATCTTCTGTCAAATTATAATGCCCAGTGTTGGAGGTGGGGCCTGGCGGGAGGTGCTTGGATCATGGGGATGAATTTCTCATGAATGATCCCTTGGTGCTATTCTCATAATAATGAGTTTTTATGAAATCCGATTGTTTAAAAGTTTGTAGCACCTCCCCACTGTGCTCCTGCTCCTGCTCCTGCTCCTGTCATGTATGATGTGCTGGCTCCTGCTTCACCTTCTGCCAGGAGTAAAAGCTTTCTAAGGCCTCCACAGAAGCAGAAGCTGCTATTCTTCCTGTACAGCCTGCATAACTGTGAGCAAATTAAGCCTCTTTCTTCTATAAATTACCCAGTCTCAGGTATTTCTTTATAGCAATGTGAAAACACACTATACGATATTCCTGATGAACATGTAAACAAAAATTCTCAACAAAATCCTAGTAAATAAAATCCATCAGCATATTAAAAAATTAATCTATCAAAATCAAGTAGGCTTTATTTCTGAGATGGAAGGTTGGTTCAACAGATGCAAATCAATAAATGTGATTCATCATATAAACAGAACTAAAAAGAACAACCGAATGTTTATTTCAACAGATGCAGAGGAGGCTTTAGATAAAATTCAATATCTCTTCATGTTAAAAATCCTCAACAAACTAGGCCTGGTAAAAACATATCTCAAAATTATAAGAGCCATCCATGACAAACCCACAGCAAACATCATCACATTAAGTGGGCAAAAGCTCAACACATTCCCCTGGAGAGCTGGAAGAAGACAGGATGCCCACTCCCACCATTCCTATTCAGCATAGTATTAGAAGTCCTAGTCAGAGCAATCAGGCAAGAGAAAGAAAAGAAAGGCATCCAAGTAGGAAGAAAGGAAGTCAAACTATCTCTCTTTGCAGATGATATGATTATACGTAACACTTAGAAAACCCCATAGTCTCTGCCCAAAGGTTCTGAGAACTGATTTAAAAAAAAAAAAAAAAGAGGAAAAGAAAAGAAAAGAAAAAAAGCTTCAGTATGGTTTCAGGATACAATATCAATGAAAAAAATCTGTATCATTTCTACACACGAATAATGTCCAAGCCAAGAATGTAATCCAATTCACAAAGTCCACAAAAAAGAATAAAGTATCTAGGAATGTCACTAACCAATGATTTCTATAACAAGAATTATAAAACACTGTTGAAAAAAATCCAAGATGACACAAACAAATGGAACAAAACATTCCATACTCATGGATTGGAAGAACCAATATTGGTGAAATGGCCATACTGCCCAAAGCAATTTATGGATTTAATACTATTCTTACCAAACTACAAATGGCAGTTCTCACAGAATTAGAAACAAAAATAAAAATTAACATAGAACAAAAAAAGAGCCCAAATATACAAAGGAATCCAAAGTGAAAAAAACAAAATTGGAGGAATCACATTACCCAACTTCCAACTCTAAGGCCACAGTAACCAAAACCCCATGGTACTGGAACCAAAACAGACACATAGACCAATGGAAGAGGATAGAGAACCCAGAAATAAAGCCACACAGCTACTGACATCTGTTCTTTGACAAAGCTAACAAAAATAAGCAACAGGGAAGGGAATCCTTATTCCATAAATGGTGCCTGGATAACTGGCCAACCATATGAAGAAGAAGATTGATATTGGACCCCTTTCTTTTACCATAAACAAAAATCAACTCAAAATGGTTTAAAGACTTAGACATAAGACCCAAAACTTTACAAACTCTAAAAGAACATCTAGAAAATACCATTCTGGACACAGGGCTTGGCCAAGATTTTATGACAAATTCTTGAAAAGTAATTGCAACAAAAACAAATTTGACAAGAGACTTCTAATTAAACTAAAAAGCTTCTGCACAGTGAAATAAACTACCAAAAGAGTAAAGAGACAACCTACAGAATGGGAGAAAATATTTCAAACTATGCATCTGACAAATGTCTAATGTCTGGAATTTTAAGAAACATAAACAAATTAACAAGCCAAAAACAAATAACTCCATTAAAAATGGGCAAAGTACATGAAGAGACATTTTTCAAAAGAAGATATCCATGTGGCCAACAAGTGTATGCAAAAATGCTCCACATCACTAATCATCAGAGAAATGCAAATCAAAACCATTGGTAATGGTTTGGAATCAAGACTATCCTACACCAGTCAAAATGGCTATTATTAAAAGTAAAAAAGTAACAGGTGTCGGTGAGGTTACAGAGATAAGAGAATGATTATACAATGTTGGTGGGACTTTAAATTCCTATCAGCCACTGTTGGAAGCAGTGTGGATATATCTCAAAGAGCTTATAACTACCATTTGACCCAGCAATCCCATTACTGCATATATACTCAAAAGCATATAAGTCATTTTTCCAAAAAGACACATGCATGTGTATGTTTATTATTGTAGCACTATTTACAATAGCAAAGACATTGATTCAACCTGCAAGCCCATCAAAGGTGGATGGGATAAAGAAACTGTGGTATAAATACACCATAAAATACCATGCAGCCATTTAAAAAAAAGTAAAATCATGTCCTTTGTAGCACCGTGGATGGAGCTGGAGGCCATTATCTCAAGTGAAATGAAGCAGAATCAGAAAACCAAATACCACATGTTCTCACTTATAAGTAGGAACTGAACATTGAGTACACATGGACACAAAGATGGGAACAATAGATACCGGGGACTTCTTAAAGCAGGTAGATGGGAGGAGGGCGAGGCTCAAAAAACTACCTATTGGGTATATGCTCACTACCTGGATGACAAAATCATCTGTACACCAAACTCCAGCCACATGCTATTTACCCATATAACAAACCTGCATATATACGCCCTGAACCTAAAATAAAAGTTGAAAGAAAAGTCTCCTATTTTGATACGGGATTTGGCTAATCTACCTTTTTAAATGTATATGCCTTATACATTTTCAAACTGTGTTCCTGGGTATCTAAAGATACATATCTCATATATTCTGATGGTTGATGCTTGATTATTTTCTATTTTATTAAAAATGAATATCTTATTCTCTTGTAATAGCACCTTTCCCTCAAAGTGTATACTTTGCATATTACTAGTACCCAAAACGTGTGCAATTGGATCCTTCAGAAAACATACATTGAAACAAATTTAGCAATGGAAACATTCATTGTGGAGTAAACTCAAAAAAAGTAGGAGGTGGCGGGTCAGGGGATTGGGCACCAGAAATAAACGTGGAAAACTGTGAGAACATGATGCAGATCTATGAAAGTTTTACTAGGCCACTAGGGAAACCAGAGCACAGATTACTCAGTACAGAGCCCCAAATTGGGACTCTCCACGTGTATTTATTTTGCTAAACGAGTATTTAATGATTTTGAAATAATTTCTAGATTGTAGTTATGTCATCTGTAGTTTGTTTTTTTTTTTCACCAAATAGTGAAGGCCAGTGTTTTAACATGTCATAGGTTTAAAAACTACATACTGATTCTGCCAGGAGATGAGCCAATCCTTCTCTTTTATGATGTCTGAGCCCAAATGACAGAACATCTCTCCCAGTGTCTGACCTCTATTTCTGTAAATAATTCTGCTGCTGCATTGTTGTGAAAAAGCAACAGAGGTCTTTCCCTTTGGGTAAGAGAGAGTAGACATACTGCTCCCATCAAGTCCAACTAAAAACTCTGGAAATCACATTTATTTTAAACAAATAATGGTTGAAAGACTCTCTTAGAAAGATGAAGAAAAGAAGTAGGCCAAGTAGGGTACAAGGGCTTTTTAGCAGAAAAGAGATAGCAGAAATAAGGTGGCAACACTCCTCCTCCTTCCTGAATGGTGTCAAAGAAAGTCAATTAAAACCGATGGTTTAAGTAATATGTAAATACTTATAAAATTGTATGCAAAGAATTGAGTTTCAACCTTAAATTATTTCTATAGCAAGAATTAAAAAGACATCAAACTGAATGAATAAACAATTTCAATAGATGCAAACACCGAGGTGAGAGAAGTGGAAAAAAGTCTGAGAAAGATTGTAAATCGGCTATGGTAAAAATACTTTAATGAACTATTATGAACATATAGAAATCAAATAATTTATTTTAAAAAATATTAGCACAGAAATAGAAAGTCTCAGTAGAAAAATAAAAGAGATGGTGAAGAACCAAATAGAAATTATAAAACTGAAAATTATTATAGGCAAGTAAAATACACCCAGTGGATAAACTCAAAAGCAGAATGGTGGGACAGAGGAAAAAAACTGAACTGAAATATAGAAAAAAATTTAACCTAAACAGAAAAGAAAAATAGACCAAAAAATAAATGACAGAGCCTCATTAACCTGTGGGACTATAACAAAAATTTTACCATTTGTGTAATGAGTCATCCACAACTAATAATAAAATTTATACTGTAGTAAATTATTTGCTATAAAATATATGTGCTATAAAGTGCAGAGAGTTAATTAAGGATTATCCTTGAAAAAAAAAGAATGATTATAAGGTACTATTTATCTTTACCTTATGCTGTCTTCAATTGCATTCATCAGTTGGCATGTGGATTGCATGATAACTTGGCAGACAACCACCTTCTGAATCAGAAGTTTTGAATTTTCAGACTTTTGGCTTAATTGCCTGTTCCACTAGCCTAATATTTAAGCCAGTCACTGTGTTATATCCTGTTATTAGAAAAATCTGTTGCAATCTATAGTACCTTGTGGCTTTTCATATTGATGAGCAAAATGAATGAAAATACTAACAAAATGGGAACTTTTGGGTTTTCTTTACCTTCCCTTAAAATAATCAGTTTTATTTAAAAAGAAAAAAAAAGAACAGCATAAGTGTCTTCCTGCTTTCCTTTTCAAATTTAAAATGATAAGTTAGAAGTAAAAGGGAAATGGGTTTTTAGAGGGATGTTAACTTTTCTAGAGTTGCCTACATTGAAATAATAGAAAAAAATGTTAAAACAAATACAGTGTAGATTTGTTTTGTTTTGGTTTCTTTTTTTTTTTTTTTTTGCAATTCAGCTTAGTTCTTGTAAACAATAGTGAAATCATAAGAAAGCAGGTGACAATACTGCATATTACTAAAAAATGAAATAACTGAAATAAAACAATTATTATTGCCTATCACTAGAATATAACTTTATATGTAACACAATGCTTTATTATATTCCCTAAGGGCCTCTGGTATTAATAAGAGTGGTTGGTCTTTCTTAAAGTTGTTAAAACTAAGTTTAGATAAATGTTAGCAATTTGAGTTTTCTTTTAAAATTGAACTTGGAGACATAACTCAATTGACCCTACATAATGACAAATATCCGGATTTTGAGAGCTGAATTCCTATATAGTTCTATAAAATCTGGACAAAGAGGCTTGTGTTATATAAATTAATGTACAGTTAACCTTTAAATAACACAAGTTTGAACTGAGCAGGTCCACATATATGTGAACTTTTTTCAATAAATATATTGAATAATTCTTTGGAGATACGTGACAATTTGAAAAAACTCACAGATGAAACACATAGCCTAGAAATACAAAAATAAAAAAGAAATAAATAGATATGCCATGAATACATAAATATATGTAGATACTATATTTTATCTATACTATGAAATATACACAAGGCTATTACAAAAATTTAAAATTTATCAAAAATCACGAATACACTTGTAGAACATACATGGTGCCATAGAACATTTATAGAACATAAATGTAAATAAATGTAAAGATGTCAAGTAAAGTAGAAGTGCATAAAATTAACTGTGGTACACACTGTAGTACCATAATAGTTTCACAGCCACCTCCTCTTGCTATCGTAGTGAGGTCAAATGTTGCGAGTATCTGCTTAAAATGCTATGTGACTAGTCATCTCCACATGAGCAGTTGGTCTCTCCAGTAAACTGCATATCACGGTAAAAAGTGATCTTGTGTGGTTCTCACGTATTCTTTTTTGTGTTTAGTGGAATATCATAAACCTTGAATATCATGATGACACTGTTGCCAGACTTTTCCTTAGTTGAGCTAAAGACGGGGTTCTTTGTCCCATGGCCACAAAATTCAGGCTCACAGACAATTGAATAGTAAGGTTTTACTGAGTGAAAAGCGGGAAACAGGGACTCCAACTGGTTTTTGAACACTCAGAGAGGTCCATGCACATAGCTCTTCCCCAAATTTCTTTGTCACCAATTTTCTAATCATGCTTCTTCCAAGTCCCTGAACATCCAGCCAGACCACTTGCTACAGCCCCGGAATCAGTATATAATCGCACATCTGGCCATTTCTCCTTCCATCCAAATTGCACAACCAGGTGCACTGCTCAAAGTTCTGCCCACTGGGAAGATTTCCCTTCACCACTGTCCTTCAGGGATGTCCTAGAAAGGAGCTGTAGTGCTGCAGCTGTCCACTTTCAGGTGGTGCCTGCATATCATGCAGAACCATCTGTGAACCACACCCTAGTCTTCCCTTCCTCTGTCAACTGATCATAGGGAACTACCCATGAGGCCATCAGTGCAGGCTGGGGAAGAGAAGGCAGGGTGGTGGGAGTGGAGACCATAGGCATTTGAGCCACTTCTTCATGTAACTTATTTGTGACTTCAGGATCTGCTAGAGCCCGATCACATATATACCACTTCCATTTGATGATGAAATGCTGCTGTGCACCACCCACTTTATGGCTAGATGGGTCAGAAAGCACCCAGTTCATGATAGGCAGTTCAAGTCACATGGTGACTTGAGGACCCATAGTCAAGCATTCAGTTTCCACCAAAGTCCAGTAACAGGCCAAGTGTTGTCTCTCAAAAGGAGAGTAGTTATCTGCAGAATATGGCAGGGACTTTCTCAAAAATCCTAGAGGCCTCTACTGTGATTTACCTGTTGGGTCCTGCCAAAGGCTCCAAATAGCATTCCCATCTGCCACTGACACCTCAAACACCATTGGATCTGTTGGGTTATATGACCCAAGTGGCAGAGCAGCTTGCACAGTAGCCTGGACCTGTTGCAGAGCCTTCTCCTGTTCTGGATCCCACTCAAAACTGACAGCCTTTCAGGTCACTAGATAAATGAGCCAGAGTAACACACACAAATGAAGAATGTGTTTCCTCCAAAATCTCAATAGACCCACTAGGGCTTGTGTCTCTTTCTTGATTGCAGGAGGAACCAAATGCAGCATTTTGTACTTTATCTTAGATGGAATATCTCAACAGGCCTCATACTACTGGACCTCTATACATTTTACTGAGGTAGAAGGTCCCTGAATTTTAGTCAGATTCATTATCAGCATGTCATCAATTTAATGGACCAGTGTGATATTTTGTGGAAGCAAAAAGTGATTAACTTCTCTCCTAATAAGATTATGACAGAAGCTGGAAAGTTGCTATACCCCTGAGGTAGGACAATGAAGGTATATTGCTGGCCTTGCCAGCTGAAGGCAAATTGCCTCTGGTGGGCCTTATGGACAGGAATGGAAAAAAAGGTATTTGCCAGGTCAATTGCTGCATACCAGATACCAGGAGATGTGTTAATTTGCTCAAGCAATGAAATCACATCTGGTACAGCAGCTGCAGTTGGAGTCACCACTTGGTTAAGCTTACAATAATCCACTGTCATTCTCCAAGATCCATCTGTCTTCTGCACAGGCCAAATAGAAGTGTTAAATGCGGATGTGGTGGGAATCACCACCCATGTGTCTTTCAAGTTATTCATGGTGGCACTAACCTCCACAGTCCCTCCAGGGATATATTATTTTTGATTTACTATTTTTCTAGGTAGAGGCAGCTCTAATGGCTTTCATTTGCCCTTTCCCACCATCATAGCCCTCACCCTACCAGTCAGGGAGCCAACGTGGTGGTTCTGCCAGCTACTAAGTATGTCTATGCCTATTATGCATTCTGGCACTGGTTAAATGACAACAGGATGAGTCCAGAGACCCACTGGACCCACTGTAAATCAGACCTGAGCTAAAACTCCATTAATTACCTAACGTCCATAAACCCCTACATTAACTGGAGAACCATATGACAGTTTGGGTGTCCTGGAATCAACGTCAGCTCAGAGCTGATGTTCAGTAGTCCTTGAAATGTTGGATCATTTCTCTTTCCCCAATACACATTTATCCTGGTAAAATGTCAGAGTCTCTTTGGGGAAGGGTGGGAGAAAGATTCACTACATAAGTTGTCGGTAATGTGGTGGAGTCTTTCCTCAAGGGTACCTGGCATCTCCTTCATTCTGGGTGTCTGAGTCTGTAAACTGGTTGAAGTCTGGAAATTGATTGAGGGGCCATGATTCTCTGCTTTTATAACTCAAATTATTCTTTCATCCATTCAACCCAGAAGTTTTCTCCTTATATAAATTAAGTAGGAATGCAGTAGGCTTCCTATCAATTTCACTTCTAGGAACACAGTGATTAATTAGCCAATGCCAGAGCTCTACACAAGTCAGACTATTCTGATTGCCGCTTTGCCTCTGCTGTCCATTAAGGTAGCTACATCCACCTTGCCTTTGACTGGTGAGTGCTGCCACTTGGCCCCTGCCACCTCGGGATCCAATATGCTGGTTGTATTTAAATTTTGTAGTTGAGCGACCATGATTCCTACTGTTAGATCTGACACACAGAAAAGAGCAATTACAGGGCTCTTCAAAGTGCAGGTGCTGACCTCACAAATCTATTTCTCAAGGCATTTGTCGAGGTTATATCTTCTGGCCACTCCCAGCTGGATGAGTAGGTCTAAAGTAACTAATCCACTCCACCATCCAATCTCCCTAAACTTTTGGATCCCTTCCTCTACATTAAACTAAGGGAGATCAGGCATTTCCAGCTCATTCACAGTGGGCCATCTTTAAATCCATATTTCAGCTAACCAAGCAAATAAACTATTAGAAACTTTTTTAACTCCCCAAGCTGCAACATTAAATGCAGAGTTCCTACTTAGTGGGCCCAAATCAACAAATTCAGCCTGATCCAACTCTAGGTTCCTTCCACCATTATCTGATACCCTTAATATCCATTCCCATGCCTGTTCTCCAGATTGCTGTTTATAAAAATTAGAGAACTCAAGCAGTTCTTTTTGAGTGTAGTGCACCTCCTCATGGATCACACTATCAAATTCACCTTCAGGGGCCTGCCAGGACTTTAGTTATAAGTCTAGAAGCAAACAGGGGTATTGGCTCCTGAGGAGAATCAATATTATCTTGCCTGGCAACTGCCTCGAGGAGGCCATCACTATAGCCTCAGGCAGTGCAGGATTTTTCTCCTTAGACAAAGGTGAAAAGTCTGATGACAGCATGGGTTGGGGAGGGGATGTTGCCACTATTAGGGATGGGGAAGTTGTTCCTTCTGGCAAAAAAAGTTCATCGGAGTTTACAAGCTCAGTGTCTCCAGCTTCATCAGGTCCTCCCTCACATCCCCATTCCAAGTTGCAGGGTCCCATTCCTTTCCAATCAATGTCTTCACTTTAACAGTAGACACCTGGAGAGGCTGGGAATGCACCTTTCATTGCAGGTCAGCCACTCGCATGATAAGAGCTTGTGTCTGTTTTTCCACAATTTCAGCTTTTTCTCTACAGGAGATAGGACTGTCACTTAGGGCAATCTTAGCAGAATCGAGGCTCAGTATCTGATTCTGAAGCTGGGAGACAGAATCCCTGAGTTCACTATTTTCTTTCATCACTTTGTCCACTGAACTTAGGAACAAACAATCAGCTTCATTACGTTCCTTTGTTCTCCACAGCTGGTCAAAGGTATTATGTATAAAGTCACTAAACTCCTTGCTTCTCATGAACAGTGAATCAGGAGTGTCAAATGCATTTATTTTGCATAACTTTCTAAACAGTTCATGCCAAGGACTATCAGTGTTCATGCTATTAGAAGTAGAGTTCTTAGCGTTTTGGGGTCTAATTATATTAAGCAGCCAACTCCAGAAACTCCAAAACCAACGAAAGAACTCCATCCTTAATATTCAGTTCCTCTCTAACCCACTCCTGGTACCAAAATCTGTATTAGACAGGTTCTCTTAGAGGGACAAAACTAATAGTATATATATATAGTATATAGTATATATATATATACACACACACATATATATATCAGTATATATACACTAATATGTATACTAATAGTATATATTATATATACCAAGATATATAATAGTATAAGTATACTGATAAATATATATATTTATAACTATAAAGTTTATTAAGTATTAACTTACACAATCACAAGGTCCCACAATAGGCTGTCTTGAAGCTGAGGAGCCAGGAGAGCCAGTCAGAGTCCCAGACTGAAGAACTTGGGGTCTGATGTTCGAGGGCAGGAAACATCCAGCATGGGAGAAAGATGTTGGCTGGTTGACTAGGCCCATTTCTCCTTTCTACATTTTTCTGCCTGCTTTATATTTGCTGGAAGCTGATTAGATCGTGCCCACCAGATTAAGGTGGATCTGCCTTCCCCAGCCCACTGACTCAAATGTTAATCTTTTTTGGCAACACCCACAAGACACAACCAGGATTACTACTTTGTTTCTCTCAATACAATCAAGTTGACAGTCAGTATTAACCATCAGACCCTCCTACCTGGCTGTCTCAATACCCATACAAAGTGCCACTAGTGATGCTGGAAGTGCTCCCAAGCAGAGAAGAGTCATAACATTACAAGAATAAAATGGAATTACTTAATATAAACTGTAGATTGAGGTCTGCAGCTGTGGTCATCCACCATTTCAGATAGATGATTCATCTTGCAAACGAATAACTTAAACTTATCTGATAAATAGAGTATAATATTATAAATATATTTTTCTTGCTTACAATTTTCTTAATATTTGTTTTCTCTAGCTTGTTTCATTGTAAGATACAATATATAATACCTATAGCAAACAAAATATGTGTTAATTAATGGTTTATGTTATCAGTAAGACTTCCAGTCAAAAGTAGGTTATTAATTTTGAAGTTTTGGGTAAGTCAAAAGTTATATGTTAATTTTCAATTGCAGAAGGGCCAGAGCTCCTAACCTCTGTGTTGGTCAAGGGTTGATTCTGGTAACTCACCCTGGTGATGCTGGGGCTTTCTAGCTGATATGATTTGGCACTGTGTCCCCCTCAAATCTTATTTTGTAGTTCCCATAATTTCCACATGTTTTAGGAGGGACTTGGTGGGAGATGACTGAATCATGTGAGCTGGTCTTTCCCACGCTGTTCTCATGATAGTGAATGGGTCTCATGAGAACTGATGGTTTTAAAAGCGGGAGTTTCTCTGCACGAGCTCTCTCTTTGCCTGCTGCCATCCAAGTAAGACGTGACATGCTCCTCCTTGCCTTCCTCCATGATTGCGAGGCCTCCCCAGCCGCGTGGAACTGTGAGTCCAGTAAACCTTTTCATTTTTTAAGTTGCCCAGTGTTTATCATCAGCGTGAAAATAGACTAATACACTAGCTTTATGCAAAGGCAAGATCTGCATTCATTAAGCAGAAAAATGACAGTACTGACCAACATGTAAGTATATAATAAGTATATAATAAGAATAGAGATTAATGAAGCTTTTTGTCTTTAGACCTTTTTTAAACAGTTATCATCTGTATATTTCATATTTTATAACACTATAGCTAGTTGACATTGACTTAACTCCAGATTATAATTATTTATATTATAAATTGGGTATATATATATCATTAATCTATATTCATTCTAGAAACAATGTCATATATTATTATATTTTGTTAATGTTATTTTATATTATTATAATCTCTTTCCACATAGCAAAGTCTGCCATATTACATTGTAAGTCATTTCCCTTACTATGTACAACATCCTGTCATGCCAAAATGCATAAATTGAGAACATTTTATTGCTTCTCTATCCTCTTAATTTATCATGTTTTAAATACATGTGAAAAAATACTACACACATACACAGAGATATATGTTATACATTCTTTAAAAGTTGTATACAATAAATAATAAATGAAACATTTTATTAATAGCCATGGATAATTATTTCATATTCAGTGTAGTTATTAGTTTTAAAATAGCTATTGGATTAAAAACAAATGCTTTTATATTTAAAAGAAGACAGAATAGCACCAATTTAAAATACAAAGATACTGTAGAGACAGCTGTTCCATACTTCATGTACCAGGTGCATAAACAATAAACCTTTCCAGTTATAATTAAAATTGCAATAAATCCTTTTTAAGAACATTGAATATTACACAAAGTATTTCCTACTCAATTATATTTTATAATTTTTATTCTATCTCAATATCATATTCCCTTTTTGTTTTAACATTAATTTATAGACAGAATAATTTTAAAGTTTATGTTTAAATCATAATTTTTAAAATATAAAGTTAATTAAACCAGAAAAATTCAATGGGAACATTATGTTACTTAGTCATCTAGAATGCTTAATTATTGAATATTTCACAATCCTGTTAATGAAAATTTGCTTGAGGAAGACAATTTTGTAGGCTGGTAAAATACTTATACTTACTACAGACAATATACAATACATAATTTAACTACTGCTGTGTAAATTAACAGCATGCAATTCAAACTAAAACATAACCATATATAATTCAGGAGTAAGAACTCATTACTTTGCGAACATACTTAATTATAGTTAATTTATTCATTCTTCCCATACTCCCCAAAATCTGGATCTACAATAGTGCCTGGATGTAAATTTCTCATAAGAATTCTAAGAAAAAACATACAGTTACAGAGAATCTTCAGCTACGTAAAATAGGGTTCCTTGAGCATTAAAATAACATTTTTATCTTTTTATTCTACTTGTCCTACGTAGTTTAGGTTATGCTAAACTATACTATGGTAGAAAATAAACTTCAGTATATCAAAACCAAAATATTAATAATAATATGGGACCTCACAAGAGGTCTTAGACATCTGGCCTTTGACCATCCCTTGTATCTATACTTCTCTAAACAAAACTCAGTCTCATAGCCTTATCTGTTAGTAAAGCTGGAATATATTGTCTATACTCCTGCCTGTAAATAAAATAAAATCAATACAGTGAATTCATAGCATTGTCTGTATTGCATTGTCAAACTTTCAAATAGACTTGTTTAACTAACTGTACCAAATTGCTTATTAATTTTTTTTGTAGTTGTTATACATTTGGTAGCATGCTGGAATTTAAATTCTTCATCATTGTCTATCAGGCCTATTTAAAATACCCCAGATATGCTACTGTAGTTATGATATAATTATTTGTCCCTATGTAGTGATAAGTAAACTATCTTTATTTTCAGGCAAGTAATAACCCAATCCTGCATCTAGATCTATGTAGCTAAAAGACTATTAATTATGTCTATATGTAGGGTAAATTTTCTAAGTGAACTTGTCTTCTACTTCCTTTTGGAAAAAAAAATTATATATTTTATATTGTTTATGCACTCACATAAATTTATTCATTATTAAACATTGATGATGAATCCAATAGTAGTGTGTATATCTCCTCTATGAGACTATGAGCTCCCAGGTCCTTGAGAAAGATACTCCTGGGTTCTGAACTTGACAAGAGTCTTTCCAGGAAATGTGTATACACTTCACAAGAGGCAGAGGAAGAATTTGCAATTACAAGTCTTCTAAAGTAAATGCTCTAAGATAAAAGAGGTCAAGGGCCTATAGTGAGAAAGAAACCTACACTTTAGTCAACCCATGAAGCCACCTTGATCACTAAATATATCCCAATCACATTCTCTCTGAATAGTCTTCTTTAATTAAATTCTATGTTAAATTAATTCTACCATGTTAAAAGCAATTTAATCTGTCAGGCCTCTGAGGCCAAGCTAAGCCATATCCCCTGTGACCTGCATGTACACATCCAGATGGCTGGTTCCTGCCTTAACTGATGACATTCTACCACAGAAGAAGTGAAAATGGCCTGTTCCTGCCTTAACTGATGACATTGTCTTCTGTTGTGAAATTCCTTCTCCTGGCTCATCCTGGCTCAAAAGCTCCTCTACTGAGCACCTTGTGACCCCCACTCTGCCCACCAGAGAACACCCCACCTTTGACTGCAATTTTCCTTTACCTACCCAAATCCTATAAAATGGCCCCATCCCTATCTCCCTTCACTGACTCTCTTTTTTGACTCAGCCCACCTGCACCCAGGTGAAATAAACAGTTTTATTGCTCACACAAAGCCTGTTTGGTGGTCTCTTCACATGGACGCGCATGAAATTTTGTGCCATGACTCGGATCGGGGGACCTCCCTTGGGAGATCAATCCCCCATCCTCCTGCTCTTTGCTCCATGAGAAAGATCCACCTACGACCTCAGGTCCTCAGACGAACCAGCCCAAGAAACATCTCACCAATTTCAAATCCAGTAAGCGGCCTCTTCTTACTCTCTTCTCCAGCCTCTCTCACCGTCCCTCAACCACTTTCTCCTTTTCACTCTTCAATCTCTCCCTTCTCTTAATTTCAATTCCTTTCATTTTCTGGTAGAGACAAAGGAGACACGTTTTATCCGTGGACCCAAAACTCCGGCGCCAGCCACAGACTAGGGAAGGCAGGCTTCCCTTGGTGTTTAATCATTGCAGGGATGCCTCTCTGAATATTCACCCAGGTTTCAGAGGTGTCAGAACATGCAGGGACGCCTGCCTTGGTCCTTCACCCTTAGCGGCAAGTCCCGCTTTTCTGGGGAAGGGGCAAGTACCCCAACCACTTCTCTCCATGTCTCTACTCCTTCTCCACCTTTCTGGGGGCAAGAAACCCCAACCCCTTCTCCTTCACCCTGAGCGGCAAGTCCCCCTTTTTCTAGGGGAGGGGGAAGTACCCCAACCTCGTATCTCTGTGCCCCAATCCCTTATTTCCACACCCCGACCTCTTATCTCTGTACCCAATCCATTATTTCCACACTCCAACCTCTTATATCTCTGTGCCCCATCCCTTATTTCTGCACCCTGACCTCTTATCTCTGTGCCCCAACCCCTTATTTCCATGACCCAACCCCTTTCCCACTTTTCTGGAAGGTAAGAACCCCCGAACCCCTTCCCTCCATGTCTCTACTCTCTCTTTTCTCTAGGCTTGCTTCCTTCACCATGGACAACCTTCCACCCTCCATTCCTCCTTCTTCTCCCTTAGCCTGTGTCTTCAAAAACGTAAAACCTCTTCAACTCTCACCTGACCTAAAATCTAAGTGTCTTATTTTCTTCTGCAATGCTGCTTGACCCCAATACAAACTCAACAGTAGTTCCAAGTAGCCGGAAAACGGCACTTTCAATTTTTCGATCCTACAAGATCTAAATAATTCTTGTCGTAAAATGGGCAAATAGTCTGAGGTGCCTGACGTCCAGGCATTCTTTCACACATCGGTCCCTCTCTAGTCTCTGTTCTCAATGCAACTCATCCCAAATCTTCCTTTTTTCCCTCCCACCTGTCCCCTCAGTCCCAACCCCAAGCATCACTGAGTCTTTCTAATCTTCCTTTTCTACAGACCCATCTGACCTCTCCCCTCCTCCCCAGGCTGCTCCTCTCCAGGCCCAGCTAGGTCCCAATTCTTCCTCAGCCTCCGCTCCTCCACCCTATAATCCTTTTATCACCTCCTCTCCTCACACCTGGTCCAGCTTACAGTTTCGGCCCGTGACTAGCCCTCCCCCACCTGCCCAGCAATTTACTCTTAAGGTGGCTGGAGCTAAAGGCATAGTCAAGGTTAATGCTCCTTTTTCTTTATCCCAAATCAGATAGTGTTTAGGCTCTTTTTCATCAAATATAAAAATCCAGCCCAGTTCATGACTCCTTTGGCAACAACCCTGAGACACTTTACAGCCCTAGACCCTAAAAGGTCAAAAGGCCGTCTTATTCTCAAAATACATTTTATTACCCAATCTGCTCTCGACATTAAATAAAACTCCAAAAATTAAATTCCGGGCCTCAAACCCCACAACAGGATTTAATTAACCTCGACTTCAAGGTGTACAATAATAGAAAAAACTTGCAATTCCTTGCCTCCACTGTGAGACAAACCCCAGCCACATCTCCAGCACAAAAGAACTTCCAAACGCCTGAACCACAGTGGCCAGGTGTTCCTCCAGAACCGCCTCCCCCAGGAGCTTGCTACAAGTGCCAGAAATATGGCCACCAGGCCAAGGAATGCCCACAGCCCAGGATTCCTCCTAAGCTGCGTCCCATCTGTGTGGGACCCCACTGGAAATCGGACTGTCCAACTCACCTGGCAGCCACTCCCAGAGCCCCTGGAACTCTGGCCCAAGGCTCTCTGACTCCTTCCCAGATCTTCTTGGCTTAGTGGCTGAAGACTGACGCTGCCCGATCGCCTCGGAAGCCCCCTAGACCATCACGGACGCCGAGCTTTAGGTAACTCTCACAGTGGAAGGTAAGTCCGTCCCCTTCTTAATCAATACGGAGGCTACCCACTCCACGTTAACTTATATTCAAGGGCCTGTTTCCCTTGCCTCCATAACTGTTGAGGGTATTGACAGCCAGGCTTCTAAACCTCTTAAAACCCCCTAACTCTGGTGCCAACTTAGACAATACTCTTTTAAGCACTCCTTTTAGTTATCCCCACCTGCCCAGTTCCCTTAGTAGGCTGAGACACTTTAACTAAATTATCTGCTTCCCTGACTATTCCTGGATTACAGCTACATCTCATTGCCACCCTTCTTCCCAATCCAAAGCTTCCTTTGCGTCCTCCTCTTGTATTCCCCCACCTTAACCCACAAATATAAGATACCTCTACTCCTTCCTTGGCGACCGATCATGCACATCTTACCATCTTATTAAAACCTAATCACCCTTACACCGCTCAATGCCAATATCCCATCCCACAGCATGCTTTGAAAGGATTAAAGCCTGTTATCACTCGCCTGCTACAGCATGGCCTTTTAAAGCCTATAAACTCTCCTTACAATTCCCCCATTTCTCCTGTCCTAAAACCAGGCAAGCCTTACAAGTTAGTTCAGGATCTATGCCTATCAACCAAATTGTTTTGCCTATCCACCCCATGGTGCCAAACCCATATACTCTCCTATCCTCAATACCTCCCTCCACGATCCATTATTCTGTTCTGGATCTCAAACATGCTTTCTTTACTATTCCTTTGCACCCGTCATCCCAGCCTCTCTTCACTTTCACTTGGACTGACGCTGACACCCATCAGGCTCAGCAAATTACCTGGGCTGTACTGCCGCAAAGCTTCACAGACAGCCCCCATTACTTCAGTCAAGCCCAAATTTCTTCTTTATCTGTTACCTATCTCAGCAAAATTCTCACAAAAACACACGTGCGCTCGCTGCTGATCATGTCTGATTAATCTCCCAAACCTCAATCCCTTACAAAACAACTCCTTTCCTTCCTAGGCATGGTTAGTGCGGTCAGAATTCTTACACAAGAGCCAAGACGGCACCCTGTAGCCTTTCTGTCCAAACAACTTGACCTTACTGTTTTAGCCTAGCCCTCATGTCTCCGTGCAGCGGCTGCTGCTGCCCTAATTGTTCTAGAGGCCCTCAAAATCACAAACTATGCTCAACTTACTGTCTACATTTCTCATAACTTCCAAAATCTATTTTCTTCCTCATACCTGATGCATATACTTTCTGCGCCCTGGCTCCTTCAGCTGTACTCACTCTTTGTTAAGTCCCACAATTACCATTGTTCCTGGCCCAGACTTCAATCTGGCCTCCCACATTATTCCTGATACCACACCTGACCCCCATGACTGTATCTCTCTGATCCATCTGACATTCACCCCATTTCCCCATATTTCCTTCTTTCCTGTTCCTCACCCTGATCACACTTGATTTATTGATGACGGTTCCACCAGACCTAATCGCCACAACCAGCAAAGGCAGGCTATGCTATAGTACAAGCCACTAGCCCCACCTCTTAGAACCTCTCATTTTCTTTCTATCATGGAAATCTATCCTCAGGGAAATAACTTCTCAGTGTTCCATCTGCTATTCTACTACTCCTCAAGGATTATTCAGGCCCCCTCCCTTCCCTAACAGCAAGCTCAGGGATTTGCCCCCACCCAGGACTGGCAAATTAGCTTTACTCAACATGCCCCGAGTCAGATGACTAAAATACCTCTTAGTCTAGGTAGACACTTTCCCTGGATAGGTACAGGCCTTTCCTACAGGGTCTGAGAAGGCCACCGCAGTCATTTCTTCCCTTCTTTCAGACACGAGTCCTCAGTTTAGCGTTCCCACCTCTATGCAGTCTGATAACAGACCAGCCTTTATTAGTCAAATCAGCCAAGCAGCTTTTCAGGCTGTTAGTATTCAGTGAATCCCTTAGGGTCTTCCGTCTTCAGGAAAAGTAGAACAGACTAAAGGTCTTTTAAAAACACACCTCACCAAGCTCAGCCACCAACTTAAAAAGGACTGGACAATACTTTTACCACTTTCCCTTCTCAGAAATCAGACCTGTCCTCAGAATGCTACAGGGGACAGCCCATTTGAGCTCCCGTATAGATGCTCCTTTTTATTAGGTACCAGTCTCATTCCAGACACCAGACCAACTTGGATTGGGCCCCAAAACACTTGTCATCCCTACTGTCTTCTGTCTAGTCATACTCCTATTCACTGTTCTCAATTACTCATACATGCCCTGCTCTTGTTTACACTGCCAGTTTACACTGTTTCTCCAAGCCAGCACAGCTGATACCTCCTGGTGCTATCCCCAAACCACCACTCTTAACTCTTAAAGTAAATAAATAATCTTTACTGGCAAGGCTATGATGAACCTCCTTAGGCACTCTCTAATTAGATGTCCTAGGTCCTCCCAAATCTTAGTCCTTTAATACCTGTTTTTCTCCTTCTCTTATTCCGTTTAGTTTTTCAATTCATACAAAACTGTATCCAGGCCATCACCAATAATTCTAAATGACAAATGTTTCTTCTAACAACCCCACAATATCACCCCTTACCACAAAATCTTCCTTCAGCTTAATCTCTCCCACTCTAGGTTCCCACGCTGCCCCTAATCCCGCTCGAAGCAGCCCTGAGAAACATCACCCATTATCTCTCCATACCACCCCCAAAAAATTTTCACCATCCCAACACTTTACCACTATTTTGTTTTATTTTTCTTATTAATATAAGAAGACAGGAATGTCAGGCCTCTGAGCCCAAGCTAAGCCATCATATCCCCTGTGACCTTCACATACACATCCAGATGGCCGGTTCCTGCCTTAACTGATGACATTCCACCACAAAAGAAGTGAAAATGGCCTGTTCCTGCCTTAACTGATGACATTGTCTTGTGAAATTCCTTCTCCTGGCTCATCCTGGCTCAAAAGCTCCCCCACTGAGTACCTTGTGACCCCCACTCTGCCCGCCAGAGAACAACCCCCCTTTGACTGTAATTTTCCTTTACCTACCCAAATCCTATAAAACGGCCCCACCCCTATCTCCCTTCGCTGACTCTCTTTTCGGACTCAGCCCGCCTGCACCCAGGTGAAATAAACAGCTTTATTGCTCACCCAAAGCCTGTTTGGTGGTCTCTTCACAAGGACGCCCATGAAAATGGTGAAACGAGAAGTCTTCCTCTGATGGAAGGTTTTTCTCGATCGAAGAGTTCGTGGTCTCACCGGCTTCAAGGAATGAAGTGTTACTGCTTGATTAGAGAAAGGTGCGGACCCAAAGAGTGTGGGGCGGCAAGATTTATTAAAGGGAAAGCGAAAGCGAAAGTAAAGCTTCGCCGATGAGGAAGGGGACCCGGAAGGGTTGCGTTTCTGGCTTGGATGTCTTATGCTTATATCCCCTCATGATTCCTCTCCTTTTCCTTTCTCTGTTCTATAGGACTAGCTTATTTTCTATTCCCTTGTGGGTTGGTGGACCTAACTGGTTAAAAACATCAGGCTGCAGGTAGAGCTTAAACTCCCTATATGATTGGTTGAAGTTTCATTCCCTTAGTTTGCAGCTATAACTCATTTTGGCTTAGGGGAACGTCCCTTTTGATTGGTTGAAGTTTCAATCCCTTAGCTTGCAGCTATGACTCATTTTGGCTTAGGGGAAAGTCCCCTTAGGGAAGTCCCTATTGGGCCTGGAAGTCCAGCCAACTTAGCCACTTAGTTCCTCAATGGGAAGAATCAGATCTAAAGCTCTGCTCTCTTTCTGGGATTTCTTTGGTTTGGGGGAGTGCCAGGGATCACTTTGTACCATGAAAGCACATGACCTTTTAATGTGCAATGGCCAAAAACTCATTGGTGAGTGCTAACTGAAGTTTTGGATGTGACTGACAGAGCTTATGAGGAATGGCTATTACTGCAGAGAGCCACTCATTTATTTGTGAGTATAGGTAAGAAAAGTGTGACTTGGAGCCCTGGAGGCTATGAAACACCACTGAGGGATAAGAATTCCAAGTGGGATGGACTGATCACAGAATGGGCTTATTGGTGTTGGGTTGCCCACCAGCCTTGGGGGGAATGTCCTTGCAATGAGCTGCACTGTGGCAGTGTTGCAGACTCATGATGTTTCCCTCTTTCTGGGATCAAAAAATTCAATGAAAAAGTGGGATTCTCAATTGGGGTTGATCTAAGTGTTTTGTTTTTCACCTACGCCTACTTTTCACATATTTAAATATTAAGGCCTTAAAAACTGCATGCTTTCTTTGTCCTATACATTAAGGGACTCCATCTGGAAGTCAGTAATAGAATCAAGAAACAAGTTAAGTTGAAAAAACTGCCTACCTAACTAGATTGGTTTCCAAAATATGACTTATTGGCATTAAGCTGGCTATTTTTAAATTGTTTGTAAAATAAATTTACATCTACAAAGGAAATCTCCATTTATAATGGCATCTTCCTCTCTGTATTTAAGCCACTAGAAATTTTTGAGATGAGGAAAACATTGGCTTAAAGTTTACATAACAAATCTTATCTTTGTTAAAGATACTTTTACTGGCAATGCTGTCTTTACTAAGCCTTTATCTATTCTCTTCTTTGTTTAAGCAAATACGGTGTTTAAATGTAAGTTCTACGTCTTTGGGATGTAAATTTTTACTTAAGAGTCATGTCTTTGGAAGTACAAATTTAGAGTTGCCTAACCAGCTAACAATTATTTAGAGCAATGGAACAGATGAGGAAGAGATTGATAGAATAAAGTGGGCAAAGAAACTGTTTGAAGAAGAATGTTACAACACTGTAGAATTTGCTTCTGTCTATATGTTTATATACATGATATTTTACTACCTATATGTATTAAATAAATTCGATCAGTAGACAGGCTTTTTATGAAGTTTGTTTTTTCTTCTTTCCATATTACAATTTCTAGATGCAAAAACTAAATCTTGCTACTCTTCTGCCCCTTCTTCTTAGATGAAAAGCCACACAATTTCCTAATCTTAACCAACCAGCTACTTTCTCCTACAATGGTCCTGCAAAAAAACTCTCCTTACTAATGCTAATGTTGTTTTGTGTACAGATAAATCATACTTGATGATTCTGGAATTTATCATGCAGGTTATGTTATAGGATCTTTAACTGAGAATACAGAAAGTGCTTATCTTCCAGAAGCAAACTTGGCTCAACAAGCTGAGTTAATAGCATTAATTAGAGCTTGTCAATTGGCAAAAGGAACAACTGCTAATATTTATAGAAATAGCACATATGCTTTCAGAGTAGCTGATGACTTTGGAATGTTATGGAAAAAAAGAGAATTTTGAACATTTCCTATCAGTCTAAAGAATGGACACTTTGTTTCAGAATTTCTGGAAGCCATATTATTGCCAAAAGCATTAGCTACTATCAAGATTCCAGACCACTGAAAGTCAGACACTACAGATAGCAAAGGACAGCAATTATCAAATAATATAGCAAAAAGGGCTCCCTTAATGTATCTGAGCAAGAAAGTCAACCCATTTTTGTTTTCAAGGAAGTACTTGATTTTGATATACAATTACTTCAATCCGAAGTCCTAAGAATAGAACAAGAAAATTGGTAAATAGAAGGGTAAATAACTCCTCTATGACTGGACTGTGGTATGCACCAAATGGTCTACTCATACTTCCAACAAAATTACAGTTATCTTTCCTAGCTTATGTACCTGGTTTAATTCAATGGAGCCCTGGTGAAGTGATTACTTGGAGAAAACAATATTATTGGAAATTTCTGCAATTATTGCTCATAATGTATGCAATCACCGTCACTTCTGCCAAAACTATAATCTGGGGAAATATTTACATAGTACTCAAAGTCATTTTTCTTTACCTGAAGGCCCCTTCAAAGCGTGACAATTATATTTTATCCAACTATTTATGTTACAAGGGTACGAGTACATTCTAGTGATGATTTATATGTTTTCTCATTGGGTAAAAGCATTTCTATGCAGAAGAGCAACAGACTTAGGAGTAAATAAAATTATCTTTGGGAAAAATATTCTGATATGTGGAGTTCCTCTAGACATTCACAGTGACTCATTTCACTGGACAAATAATCTAGTCGATATAT
This sequence comes from Homo sapiens, assembly GCF_000001405.40. Taxonomy (NCBI): domain Eukaryota; kingdom Metazoa; phylum Chordata; class Mammalia; order Primates; family Hominidae; genus Homo; species Homo sapiens. The sequence goes on from NC_000004.12 coordinate 132,126,818, forward strand.
AAAATCTGGCTCACTCTCCAACATTTCTATTGTGCATATTACTGCCAGTCACCTGGGTTAGTGGAACACACAAGCAAAATAATCAAAATTCATTTGGCAAAAATAACTGAGGCTTTTAAAACCCCTTGGCCAAAAGCTCTTTCACTGGTTGCTTGTTCTTATCCTAAGATCCACCTCTTTCCCTATTCATAAACACTGGCTCTCTCTATTTGAAATTATCACAGGCAGACCTATGAAATTATTTTCAGGTAATTGTAAATCTATGATATCAAAGGGGGATATGTTGTATTATTGCAGCAGCCTCATAAGGCAACTAATTAAAAATTGTAATTTATTAATAGTAAAACACTCTTTCCACAGTGAGCTCCAAGGAGACAAGGAACACAAGGACCATGGACATCAACCAGGAGATTTGTCTGTTGAAAATGGCATTCTTTTAAAGGACTTCATTTAACCAAAATGGAAGGGACCTTATCAAGTGCTCCTAACTAACCTGTGTGCTGCTAAGTTAAAAGTAATAGATTTTTAGATACATGTCACTCATTTAAAGAAAGTCACTTTACTAATTTCTACCTTATCTTAAACCAGTGATTTAAAAATTGAAACTATCTAGAACCAACAAAGATGAGAAAAATATATCAGATGCAGTTAGCTTTCTCAAAACACCAAACCAGACCTGTGTCTAAACTAATGCTTAATATTAACAATCATTAATAGATTAATGATTAATAGATTAATCATTAAAAGTCTTCCTTTGCAAGTTCCCACTAAATATCTTTCTTTTCAACCCTAGATATTATGCTTTATTGCTACTACCAAAGCTATTGCCTATGAATCTAATCTCTTGCAATGGAGTCAAAACTATGCTGATAGATTACAAAAAAACACTTGTTGGATATGTGACCTCATACCTTTTTCTGGTGGTTCTTACCTATCACGGTGGGTATCTCCTTTCTAAGGAAAATATTGGATAGAATATCAGAAATATATCTGTATTTCTCAAGAAAAATCATTGGTGCTTACATTAGTATGACTAAGGATGACATATGTAACTGGTCTATTAATTATACTTTACAAAGCAAAGGGCATGGGAAGAGCTTTTTGGTAGATGAAATCTTTTTTTTGCTTTTAATACTACCGTTGCCTCAACTGAGAAATAAGACAACTTAATTCTAGGATGGTACAACACAAATTTGAGACATCTCTGTATAGCTTACCCCTTCTTTTGGTCAACTTAGTCAGCTTTATGTTGAGAAAAAAGAAAAGAATCACACCAAAGACACATAGTTCAGTAACACTGAAGATATGGGATGGATACCCAAGAAATGATGTGTCCACACCCTTATCTTACAAAGTACTGATTGACATGTCACTGAATGAACACAGTGGCCAGTATTTATTGGCTAGCTCCAAATGGAATAACTTGACAATGAGGCACCAATTAATGGCTACAGTTAACCCAAGAATGTTTAGGACAGTGTTCTTTGGGTTACAGCTGGGCACAAGGTTAAATAGTTCATACGCTTTCACAGCCTGAAAATTTTTCTTATTTATAGTCTTATTTGGCTCATTCCCTATTTCATTGGTATAATCATTTAGCTTCCATCTTTCTGCCACAACTGGGTACTGAGGTTGTCATTTGGCATGTAGAGGCTTTAACCAATTACACGATAAAAGGTGGTAAATGGTAGTCACCTGGATCTTATTATTAAACAGTGAAGTTGCTCTTATGAGAATTGCTGTATTGCAGAACCATATAGCTTTAGATATACTCACTGCATTGAAAGGGGGAACTTGCACTATCGTAAAAACTGAGTGTTGTGTCTATATCCCAGATGAACTAGATAACATATTTACATTAATGGCTGATATGGAAAACCAAATAACTAACCTTTCAGATTTAATATCCTCTCCGGATTATTGGATAAGAAGCTGATTTGGATCTTGGGAAACCTGATGGAAAAAACTAGGAATAATAATCATTTGTAGCATTTTGTCTTGTTTTTGTCTTTACTCCTGGTGCGGCATTTGTTGGCAATGGAGTCAACACACAACTGACAAAACTAAAGTTTGTTCAAAAAATTGCATTAATTGAAGATGCAACTGTGAAGCCTGACTCAAGTCACAATGTCACCTTCTTCACCTTGCTCTAAATTTGGGCTATACCCCATCAGCTTTATAACTTGGTAAATTGCTCATCAATGAAGCATGACTTCCTAGGAGTGAGCTTTTCTAGCAACACTGGACTAAGTTCCTGAACTTACAGGGAACCAAACTGTTTGAGTTTATCTACCATGCTTTCTTTGGAACATCTTGATGGAAAAAAAGAAATATGAAATTAAATAATTCAAGCTTAAAGCTGTTGGAAATTTAAGTTACTTAAGCTTTGAGATGAATGTGACTATGTGGTTTGAACGATGTAGCATGCATTTGCAACTTCTGCTTCTTTGTTTTTAGATTAAGTCTCTTTATTTTTTTGTCTGTAAATTATTAGAAAAGACCAAATGGCACCAGAGATAAGGCCCATAAAAACCATTGCTTCTCCAGACAGAATTTTAAAGCGATCTTCCTTGGAACATAGCAAGCTGTAACCGATCAAATTGCTGTAATGGATGTACTGGCCTTACATGGAAAATGTTGCAACCCTGTTGAACTTCTGTGTTTCTGTCTATACAAGTAATACTTTAGCTTCTGCATTTTGGAAAGCCGACACTTTGGAGTCCGTATTTCCTGAGTGCCATTCTCAAACTTTGATCATGAATAGACTCTGTACTTAATTATATTTTCTGGATCTCATCATTTAAGGTTGACATCTTTATCTTACATGCAAGTATATTTTTACAAAAAGACATATAAAAGAATACTCATTATATTATTGAGTATAAGCACATTCAAATATTTTCTCTTTGTAATAACAAAAAATGTTAAAGCGAAATGAATTGTGATATATTTATTCAATAAAATATCACACAGTAAAAAATGGATTTATTTTCCACAGAAAAACAGGAATAAATCTCTCATATGTTTAGTAGAAGTTCCTACACAAAAACAAACAACTCTATAATTTTGTTTAAAGTTAAAAAAAGAAGTGAGACATTTAATATAGTTTCATCAGCATGCATTACAGATCATTAGATAATAGTTTTATTTTATCAGGAATATAGAAAAAAACTGCTTTTAATTGTTGTTTAAAGAATTTTTTTCCAACACAACACACATTGAAAGATGTGAGAATTGAAAACCATTTGAATTATAAAAAAGATGAATTGTTATTAGAGTTTCACGTAGTAACTGGAGTAACTCTTATACATTAGAAGAAGCTTTCTTTTTTCCTTCTATTGCTTCAGATTGTAGACTGTAAATCTTATCATATTCCATAAAATAAAGAACAGTGTACTTGCCAGGTTGCAATTTTTTATTCTTGGTTTTAATTTAGCATTGCCAATGTATTAAAATATAGAAAGAAAAAATAAAAGGTGTTATATGAGAATATTTTCAGTAATTTGACCAGGAATATCTACAAGCTCTTAGTTGCTACTTTGGTATTACTCTGTTGATATTTTTCACTTCTCTACATACTACTCATAGTCACCTTGCTCTGACTTATCTTCCACAGCTGCTAATACAATCTAAGTACATTTATCTTCTTAACATGATCAGCCTTGTAGAGCTGGGTTACAACTAACATGACATCAATGCTGATAAACTGACTGTATTTCACTATCTCACTGATGTTTTGTCTTGCCTTATGATATAAGGTCTAGTTCATACATTACTGATAAGACTATTCAGGAAACTAGATAGACGTCTGTGGCAGGTTCAACTATTGGAGTCATAAAAAGGAGGGATAATACTATTACTCTGAAGACCTGGATGCTGGTGACACATCGATGAAAAGTTATTTGTCCAGGTATTTTTATAAAGTTGGAGATTTATTTTATTTCAAAGATGGTACTTTCCCACATTGTGCTAATATATGTTTTATCTCTTTACTTATATATGTCAAAGTCCCATGGCACACAAATAGCAGGCATTTGTTTTAGGTGTGATATTACTGTTTTGAAGGTCAGCTCATTTATAAAAAAGTTTCTTTTAACCTGTACATTTACAAGACACATCTGAGCTGCATATTTTATCATGTGCATTTTAACGAGAATTCCACTACTGGCTATTTCCTACTGAGTTGGAAAAGAATAGACTTTTGTTATGATAAAATGCTCTTGATTTTGTTTCGAAAAAGATGGAAAAATTCTATGGCAATATAATTTACATTAACAATATAGATGATCCTATAACTGCTCTCCCATTAACACTGTTGTTTTTACTCTGTTCACCATTTTCTAAAAAGTCCACCTTTAAGGTTGAAATATTTCATACTTGTCTCCAAACAAAATGTGTCTGTTTCTATAACATTTCACTCATGTCAATTGTGCTATTATTCTGTACAAGGAAATGGAAAGAAAGTCATTTTTATCTTCCCTTAAAGTCTTTTTATACATAAGCAAAGTCTATATAGCAAAATATTATTTTTTCTGCAAGTTTGTTCATAAGGACAAATGTTACTCTACTTATAAAAAATAGCATATTTTAGTGAAAGTGATGCCTAATTTAGTCCAAGATGAACTGTTCAATTGGAGAAAGTAGTTTTTTCTCAACATAAAATTATTTTAAGTTACTTGTATAAAACAAATTTACCATAAAACCGTAAAATAATTTTACTTTACCTATGATATTTATGTACATATGTAATATTTAAAATCAATTTAGAAAACATATTTCAATTGCTTTAGAAAAACAAGACTGTTTGTGTATATGAATATACCTGTGTATGTATGTATAGGTTTGTGTGCATGTGTGTGTGTGTATTTGGCAGTGAGGATAGAAAGAAGATGGATTATTTCATGCGCGTCCTTGTGAAGAGACCACCAAACAGGCTTTGTGTGAGCAATAAAGCTGTTTATTTCACCTGGGTGAAAAGTTTAGATGGTGCTGAAATATTTACATATAATTCTTCTTCTGAAATATTTAACATCAGGCAAATTTTAATCAAAATATACTGTACTTTTAAGTGAATGAAAGCTTTCTATTTTATCATAGAAACATGCATATGTGTATAAAAGGGGTTATTTTAGAAACTGTTTTTGTCTCCTCTCCCCCTCCTTACTTCAGCTTTTGATCAAATTTGGACTAAACTGATGACCAGTACCGTCTGTGACTTTCTGTGTCACTTATTATTAATGTCTGGAAAAATTCCTGACAGTCACGATTATGTTATTGTGGCATCCATCCATGTCCTGAAGCAGGATCAGAAAATGTAAAACAGTACTCACCTTGAACTACTTATATTTTCTAAATCATCCATTTACTAATATTTACAAGTAATAAAAAGTAAAGATAAATTAAACTCTAAGGTAATCTTCAAGAATGCATATGTTGTATTACTGTACATGAGATATTCATATATTCAGGCCCTTCACACTGTAGCCAAGACATTATATCCTATGAATAAAATATAAGAAGCTCTATGATAGTGTAAATACTAGAAAATGACCATATGGTTTATTTATTATATCAGCTTGGCATTATTATTGGGAAAAATTCAAATAAACATTTCCTCATTGTTTTATCTGTCATAGGATCACAGCAAACTCGTAGATCTTAGTGGGAGAATGCAGAAGAGGATCATTTCCCCTAGACTTGGAATTTTAAAGCTGTATGATTAAGGAATCAATTGCCTTTCACTCCGTGTAACTAGAGACTGACTTAAAATAGTAATAAAATATACTGAAACCCTGGCTCCTGTCAGCTTCATGTCAATGATTAGTGACTGAGGAAGACAAGTCTTAAAATGTCAGTATTGTTTGTCTTAAGAACTGAAACTTAGCTAAATTCCATGGAGGTCTGAAGGAGGCAAACTCCTTTCCTGGGAGGCAAATATACATATATAAATCTTAGATGAAATAAATGTAACTTCACATCAGTATTTCAGAAACACAACTGGATAATGCTAACACTAAAAAAGAGAATAAGAAACAAATTACTAACAGTAAATCCAAACTTTGATTCAATATAAAGGAACATGGCAAGACTGAGTGGAAAGTTAGTCCAAAGTGGTGTATAAAAATGAAGATATAAGAGGCATCAGAGACTTATACTAAAGTAAACATGAGAAACATAAGAAACAAATTGACTGTTAAAGAATAAAAAGGAAGCTGGAAATTTACTTAATTAGGAAAACAATCAAATATTATTATAAATAAATAGCAATCAAAGAATTTGGGATGCCAATGATAACAGTAAGTATAATTCTAATGGTTAAAAATCTGCCAATAATACCTAAGCTTCAGAGAAAAGCAGACTTGATTTCATATCATTGCACTAAGAACAAGTTGCAAAGCTAAAACAATATAAAAATATAAAATGGAAGAACATTCCATGCTCATGGATAGGAAGAATCAACATCGTGAAAATGGCCATACTGCCCAAGGTAATTTATAGATTCAATGCCATCCCCATCAAGCTACCAATTACTTTCTTCACAGAATTGGAAAATACTACTTTAAAGTTCATATGGAACCAAAAAAGAGCCCACATTGCCAAGTTAATCCTAAGCCAAAAGAACAAAGCTGGAGGCATCACGCTACCTGACTTCAAAGTATACTACAAGGCTACAGTAACCAAAACAGCATGGTACTGGTACCAAAACAGAGATATAGACCAATGGAACAGAACAGAGCCCTCAGAAATAACGCCACACATCTACAACTATCTGATCTTTGACAAACCTGACAAAAACAAGAAATGGGGAAAGGATTCCCTATTTAACAAATGGTGCTGGGAAAACTGGCAAGCCATATGTAGAAAGCTGAAACTGGGTCCCTTCCTTACACCTTATACAAAAAATTATTCAAGATGGATTAAAGACTTAAAAGTTAGACTTAAAACCGTAAAAACCCTAGAAAAAAAACCTAGGCAATACCATTCAGGACATAGGCATGGGCAAGGACTTCATGTCTAAAACACCAAAAGCAATGGCAACAAAAGCCAAAATTGACAAATGGGATCTAATTAAACTAAAGAGCATCTGCACGGCAAAAGAAACTACCATCAGAATGAATGGGCAACCTACAGAATGGGAGAAAATTTTTGCAATCTACTCATCTGACAAAGGGCTAATATCCAGAATCTACAATGAACTCAAACAAATTTACAAGAAAAAAACAAACAACCCCATCAACAAGTGGGCGAAGGATATGAACAGACACTTCTCAAAAGAAGACATTTTATGCAGCCAAAAGACACATGAAAAAATGCTCATCATCACTGGCCATCAGAGAAATGCAAATCAAAACCACAATGAGATCTCATCTTACACCAGTTAGAATGGTGATCATTAAAAAGTCAGGAAACAACATGTGCTGGAGAGGATGTGGGAAATAGGAACACTTTAACACTGTTGGTGGGACTGTAAACTAGTTCAACCATTGTGGAAGTCAGTGTGATGATTCCTCAAGGATCTGGAACTAGAAATACCATTTGACTGGCCATCCCAGTACTGGGTATATACCCAAAGGAATATAAATCATGCTGCTATAAAGACACATGCACACATATGTTTACTGCAGCACTACTCACAATAGCAAAGACTTGGAATAAACCCTAATGTCTACCAATGATGGACTGGATTGAGAAAATGTGGCACATATACACCATGGAATACTATGCAGCCATAAAAATGATGAGTTCATGTCCTTTGTAGGGACATGGATGAAGCTGGAAACCATCATTCTCAGCAAACTGTTGCAAAGACAAAAAACCAAACAGCCCATGTTCTCACTCATAGGTGGGAATTGAACAATGAGAACACTTGGACACAGGAAGGGGAACATCACACACCAGGGCCTGTTGTGGGGTAGGGGGAGTGTGGAGGGATAGCATTAGGAGATATACCTAATGTAAATGATGAGTTAATGGGTGCAGCACACCAACATGGCACATGTATACATATGTAACAAACCTGCACGTTGTGCACATGTACCCTAGAACTTAAAGTATAATAAATATATATATAAAAGAATTAAAAGACAGTACATTTCTATTGTTTAATGTACTGTCTTACAGTTCTTGAGGATTATGATAGCCCTGGCAAATTATTGCTTCTTCAAGAGGGAAAAAAAGGGTTTATTTCTACACTTGAAAATGATGCCGCTTACACAGGGAAGCAGTAGACATACAAAATCAGTTTTTGACTCAAAAAGTGTTGAAAGAGGATAAGCCTTAATCTTATTTGAATAAATACATAGAACAAAATGTGCTGATTTTAGATGTGTAAATAAAGTGAATAGAAGGAATAAAGATTTTACTTCATTGATGCAGAGTTCAAATAAGTGTATTGCCTTCTATTTCTGGTTATAAAGCCTAATGAATTATCAACACTATTTGCATTTTCACAATATTCCTAAGTTGAGTACATCTCCTTTTCTGGAATACTTCATTTGTTATCCTTTTTACATTGTAAAAGTTGATATAAACATCTTAATTTTATTCATGTAAACAGGCATGTCCATTTTGTTTTATATTTTGACCTCAAGTGATATTCATTCTTTTAGTCTTTGCATTTTTTATAGCAGTGTATTTCTAAGAACTAATACAATAAACAATGCTATTAAAATTTAAAAAATATCTACTAAAGACATTAGAACTATCAAACTAGGAAACACTTGCAAAACTGGATTTTAAGGAAAAGAGAGTCAAGCCAATATTTGGCAATGTTTTTCTTCTAAAGGACATTTTCTATTTGAAAGCAAATGAGAGGCTGAGAAACTGAGCAGGAATTGCTCATGGATAGGTAGATTACTGTGGGTAGAAACTCAACATCTGAGGGAGCTGTTCCTAAGGAAACACTCTAAGCTTTCAGTTAAGAAACTATTAAAGGTGAATTGAAAATAAACCAGACATAACAAAGAATAACACCTAAACTGAAAGTGTTCCTAGGTTATTTGACAGAATCAAAGTAAATTTTCTTTGAGAGAATATTCCTCCTCTAGAGAATTAAATTACCTCCCAATTTTAAAATGTGAAATATGTCACTCAATAACAAATGGTGGAGTGAAAAAAAGACAAAAATTGACAAAACTAAGAGAAAAACTTAAAATACATAAAGATCAGGAAATGCAGACATAGAACTTAAAGTTATGAGCCTTATAACATCTACAATTATTATTCTTAAGATATTAATGACAAAATAAAACATTCAGACTAAGGTACAAAAACAGTAATAGAAAAAGCAATCCTAAGCAAAAAGAACAAAGCTGGGGCATCACATTACTCGACTTCAAATTGTACTGTAAGACTATATTCATCAAAACATCATGGTACTGATACCAACAAAAATAGACACAATGACCAAAGGAACCAAATAGAAAACCTCAAAATAAAACTACACATCTATAGCCATCTGATCTTTGACAAAGTTAACAAAAATAAGCAATAGGGAAGGGAATCACTACTCAATAAATGATGCTGAGATCCTGGCTAGCCATATGCAGAAGAATAAACCTGTACTCTTCCCTTTCATCATGTACAAAAATTATCTCAAGTTGGATGTGGATTAAATATTTAAGAGCTCAAACTGTAAGAATTCTAGAAGAAAACCTAGGAAGCACTATTCTGGACATCAGTCTTGTGAAATGATTTATGGTTAAGTCCTCAAATGCAATTGCCACAAAAACAAAAATTGACAAGTGGGACCAAATTAAGCTAAATAACTTCCCCACAGCAAAAGAAAGTATCATCAGAGTGAACAGAAAAACCACAAGATGGGAGAAAATATTCACAAACTCTGCATCAAACAAAGATCCAATATCCAGAATCTATAAAGAACTTACACAATTCAACAAGCAAAAAATACATAATCATATTAAAAAGTGGGCCAAAAAAATATGAACAGACACTTCTCAAAAGAACACATACAAGCAGCCAATGAACATATAAAAAAAATGCACATCACTAATCATCAGAGAAATGCAAATCAAAACCACAATGAGATATCATCTCATACCAGTCAGAATGGCTATTTTAAAAAGTACAAAACAACAAATGCTGAGGAGGCTGCTAAGAAAAGGGAATGCTTAAATGCTGTTGGTGGAAATGTAAATTAGTTCAGCCACTGGAAAACAGTGCGAATATTTCTCAAAGAACTTAGAACTACCATTTGGCCCAGAAATCTCATTAATGGACATATATTCAAAAGAATATCAATTGTTCTACTAAAAAGACATATGCATGCATATGCTCATTGTAGCACTATTTACAATAGCAAAGACATGGAATCAACCTGGTTGCCCATCAATAGTGGGTTAGAAAAATAATATGGCACATATACACCATGGAATATTACACAGCCATAAAAAAGGAACAAAAACATGTACTTTGAAGAAACATGGATGTGGCTAGATGCCATTATCCTGACAATTTAGAAACAGAAAACCAAATACCACACGTTCTTGCTAATAGGTGGGAGCTAAACATTGGGTACTCATGGACATAAAGATGGCAACAATAGACACTGGGGATTGCTAAAGGGGGAAGGGAGAGTAGTAGTTGACTAACTATTGGGTACTATGCTTGCTACCTGGGTAACAGGATCATTTGTACTTCAATCCACAACATCATGCAATGTATCTATGTAACAAACCTGCACATGTACCACCTGAATCTAAAATAGTACTTGAAATTATTTTGAAAATTAAAAAAATAGTAAAAAATAGAATTGAGTATTTTAAACTAATGTAATTGAAATTTAAAATTCTAAAATGTCAGAACAAACAATATAGCAAGCCTGATATTGCTATTTTTAGAAAGATATGCATATAAAGTTAATTTGGTACTTGAGAACTTGGATTTGGATTTGGGGGTCTTTACATTGTTACCTAATAAAAATGGCTTATTTTGACCAAACTGTTTGTAGCAACAATGTGGTTTATGCCTAACACTTGCCTTCTTTCTGGGAGTCTAGAAATTTGATATAAGCTAGCAGAAGGTACCTACATGACCAGCCCTAACAGAAACACGCTGGGCAGTGAATCTCTTATGAATTTCCTTGGTAGACAATAATTCACGTTTACTAAACTGTCTGTTGAGAACTCATATTAGATAAAGAACTTATAACCAAAATATACAAAGAACTCTTAACCCTCAGCAATAATGAAAACCAATGACCCAATTTCTTAAATATTAAAAAAAATCTGAACAGATGGCAATAGTCACCTATAAAGATAAACAAAATCATTTGTTGTTAGAAAAAATGCAAATTAAAACAACAATGGCCATGTGTGGTGGCTCACATCTGTAATCCCAGCACTTTGGGAGGCTGAGGCAGGTGGATCACTTGAGATCAGGCATTCAAGACCAGCCTGGCCAATGTGTTGAAACCCCATGTCTACTAAAAATACAAAAAAATTAGCCAGCCATGGTGGAACATGCCTGTAATCCAAGCTACTTGGGAGGCTTAGGCATGAGAATTGCTTGAACCTGGGAAGTGGAGGTTGTAGTGAGCAGAGACCATGCCACTGAACTCCAGCCTGGGTGACAGAGTGAGACTCTGTCTCAAAAAATAAGAATAAAACAAAACAAAAGCAAACAAAATAAAACAATGAAATGTTACCACATGCTTTTTAGAATAACTAAAATACAATAAAGCCAACAATATCAAATGCTGAAGATGTTGAGCAACAGGAACTCTCATCCATCGTTGACAGAAATGGAAAATAGTACAGTCAGTCTGGAAAATAGTTCAGCAGTTTATTACAAAGCTAATTATATCCTTACCATGTGATCTAGAAATTGAGCTTATAAGTATTTATTCAATCAATCTGAGAACATATGTCCACAAAAAAACCTGCATATAAATGTTTATAGTCTCTTTTTCTTAATAGCCCCTAACTGAAAGAAACACCTATGTCTTTCAATAGATGAATAAACAAACTGTGGGATTTTCATTCAATGGAATACTATTTAGTGATTGAAAAGAAAGAGCTATAAAGCTCTGCAAGAATGTGGAAGAATCTTAAGGCAAACTGTTAAGTTAAAAAAGCCAGCCTGAAAAGTCTACATACTGTATGAGTCCAATTATATGACATTCTAGAAAAAATAAAAACTATAGAGATAGTAAACAGATCAGTGGTTGCCAAAGGTTTCAGAAAAGAAGATTGAATAGGAGAAGAACACAGGATATGTTAGAGCAGTGAAAACTATTCTGTAAGACACCATAACGGTGGATAAATTATGTTGTACATCTGTCAAAACTCACAAAACTTTTCATCACAAGGAGTATTCTTAATGTATACAAATATTTAAAAAATATTTAGGGTAATTCAGTAATTCCAAATGGACTATAAATAATGATAAAAAATGTGTTACAAAAGTATGAAATAAATTCACTAAAAGTGGTGATGGAGAAAGTGCAGGCCTAAGTAATTCTGAAAATGTTTAGACTATAAAACTAAAGGTAAAAAGAACGTCATATAATCACTGTATCCTACATTATAAATTTGTTTCTTACAGAGTATTGTTTAATAATTCTGAAGCCACTAACCTTGTATACTAGAATAGAATAAGTAAATGATGAATACCATCCATGTTTTTCACTGTGGGAGTCTGAGGCTAAACAAGTAAGGACAAGACTAGAATGATCAATGTGCTAATTTATTAATATCGGAACTATCTATATAAATTTATGTTTAACTTGATATAGATACAAAAGGATATGTATAGAATTATGTACAGATATTTTGTGTGCATATGTTAGTATACATATGTATATACACTTGTTCTGCCATCTGAGAGACTCTAGATTCAAAATACTCCAGGGTTAATAAGCACAGATAACATTCAGATCTTGACTTCTAATGCCATTTTCAAGTAAAAGGAGTCAGTGCTCTTCGGATAAATCACTGTGTCTAGGATGGAAACGGAAAATAGATGAGATAAATCTCGAGCATCCTTTAGTGCATCAAAAGAAGACTTCCAAAAGTGCCAATCATGGGGTATGTCACAAATACACAGGAGCCTTCTGAAATAGCTCCCAAAGGCTAAAGCTGAAAAAATTAGAGTAAAAAAATAAAGTAGTATTTTATTATAACTCAAAGTAAAAATTCATGTGTAAATACTGATACAAATACATAATTGAATAGAATAATAAGTGAAAGAAAATAAATAAATCACTGATGTAAAGTAATTCCAATAATGTATATAGTTAATTTACCCTCAAGAAGATGGAGCATAATTCTCTTCTTCCTTGTATATGGGCTGCAAATAGTGAATACTTTCAAATCATACAGTATGAAAGATGGGGGCAGGGGAATTAAATTTCTGGTGTGGAAGTCTGGCAAACACTGTGTCACCCTGGTGACCAGGCTTAACATTAACACTATTAACTTATGTTGAAAATATGTTCGCTTCATATGATAGGATGAAATATTACTTGAATTCTGTAGTGTTCCTCCCAAGAACATATTGGGTATAAAATTAAAACATTTCAATAAAGTATTGTCTTTAGTTAATAATAATGCATCTGATATGCTCTGGCTGTGCCCCCACCCAAATCTCATCTTAAATTGTAGTTTCTGTAATCCCCATGTGTTGGGGGTGGGAGGCACCTGATGGGAAATAATTTAATCATGGGGGCAGTTACCCTCATGCTGTTCTTGTGATAGTGAGTGAGTCCTCACAAGATCTGATAGTTTTATAAGGGGCTTTTCCCCTTTTGCTCATCACTTCTCCTTCCTGCCACCATGTGAAGAATAACGTGTTTGTTTTCCCTTCTGCCATGATTGTAAGTTTTCTGTGGCCTCCCCCGCACTGCGCAAGTGTGAGCCAATTAAACCTCTTTTCTTTACAAATTACCCCGTCTTGGGTATGTCTTTATTAGCAGAGTGAGAACAGACTAATACATCATTATAATTAAATGCATAATACTGAAAACCTTACGAAAACAGAAACAGGAAAGGGATTAGCATTATTAACTTGTAAACATTGTAGTATAGATTGTTGTAAGAAAAAAAGTAAAAGCAATAAGGATGGGTAAGAAAAAAATAAATTTGTCATTTCTTAGAGATGATATATATGTGTGTAGACAAAATCCAAAAAAAAAGGAAATCTATATAATGTTATCAGTAAGTAAATTTTTCATGATTACAGGATACAAGAATAAAATTATTATCAGATTTTGCCTTGAAAGGGTATTTTTCTTCACAGTATGATTCTGACTAGGCCCAATGACTACATTTGTCCAATTAAGTGACATTATTCAAGTTCAGAGTGTAAATATCAAGAGTTTTTCAAGGCTTTACAGACTCATTTGGGTCTTTGTCCACCTTTACCATATGAAAAGGTCTATACTAGCCTCCTAATGATTATAAACCACATGTAGCTAGAAGAGTCATCTTACCCAAGTGTCTTAGAGAGAAGTCAGTTCCAAGCTTTCCCAGCTGCTTATCACAAACCCAGAGGGAATCCAACCAGAATGAGCTAAGCAAGACCCACACCAGTAGAACCACCCCAATGAGATTCAGCCCATTTGTCAATGCATATAATTATGGCCTAAAAAATTGTATGCTTTTTTATTTTGATAAATTTTGGGATGTTTTACTTAAACCAAAGCTAACTGATATAAAACCCAACCAAATATGTGCAAGACCTATACCAAGAAAATGATAAAGCATTAGGAGACCTTCAAGAAGATTTAAATAAATTGAGGTGTATACTAACATCATGGATAGAGAGAGGTAAAGATGTGAATGCTCTCCAAATTGATCTAAAAATTCAATGTATTCCCAAATACAACATTACCAGAATTCTGAATTGGAAATAAAAACTGATCATATAATATTTATGGTAACAAAATAAATGACTAAGAATCACTGGGACATTCTTGAACACAGACAAAATATTGGTAAACATAATTAACAGATCAGTTATCAACATTGATTGTAATTAGGACAAACACAGAAAATAGGACAATATAATACTGGCATGAAGAAAGACAAATGGAGCAGTATAACAGAATAAATAGACCAAAAATACACCTACGTAATAAATATGATCTTGATTTACAGCAAGGTTTACATTACAAAAGGATTATCTTTAAATAAATGAAGGTGTGAAGTGTATACTGAAATAGAAGAAAATTGTCTGTGACCCCCTTCCAAACACTATACACAGAAAAGTAGTATAAAACCTAACTGTTAAAAGTTAATTAATAAAAATTATGGATATAAATATGGAATTAATTACTATAACATTATTTTACATGAAAATTAAGAACTTTGTTCATAAAGAATACCAATACAAATGTAAATTCAAAGAACAGATGAATTATTTGCAATAAATACAACTCATTAAGGTCTTGCAAATATTCTCCCAGAATATATAAATCTATAAGACACTAATTAATAAGAAAGAGAGATAATACAAATGAAAAATGAAGAATTAAACTTGAGGATAACTTCATAAAATATATTCAGATACTCAATAAAAACACACATAAGTACAATACCCTATTATTAATCAAGAAAAGTACTAAGTAATATAGGCATTATACACTCATCAGAATGGCTAACATAAGAAACATTATAGTAACGTGAGTTGACAAAGTTCTGTAGCAATTGGAACTCTCATGCATTGCTTGTACAAATGTGGGTAAATTGGTACCACTTAGAAAAACTGGGAAGATCTACTAAAATAGAATAAAACAATTTCTGATGACAAAACAATTCCACTATCTTTACATAGCCTTGTGAAATTAAATAATTCAAACTTAATGTTATTGGAACTTTGAATTATTTGAGCCCTGAGAGGAATGTGATTTCTTGGTCTAAGTCACATAGGATGCATCTGTAACTTCTGTTTCTCCAATTGCAGATGAAACCTCTATCTCATTTTTGTTCTGTAAATTATTAGGGAAGACTAAAGGCTACCAGAGAAAAGACCCCTAAAAGCTATTACCCCTCCTCACAAATATTAAAGCAATCTTTCTTGGAATGTAGCAAGCTATAACCAATCAAATTGCCTTAACATATTCACTCACTTTATTGCAACCCTATTAGACATTTCTGTTTCTGCCTGTGTGCGTGAAACCTTAGCTTTACCATTTTGGGATGCTGACCACATTTACTTGAAGCTGGTGTTTCCTGGGTGACTATCTTAAAGCTTTGCATTGAGATAAACTCTAAACTTAATCACATTTTCTTAATCTAATTTAAGGTGACATTTTGGTGAGCAAGAAGGAACCCAAAATGGACCTCCAGTGATACTCAAATCTTGGCCAACAACCAGAGCTCTGATACCAGCAAAATGACTTTCACTCACCCAACCTCACTGGAATCCATGGGCAATATCTGGTAAGGCCCTTTTTGAGGGCTGAACCTCCCAGCTTGGTTGAGGTTCAGACTTTATTCAAGATATAGACTTCCTAACTCAACAAAGTTGGAATTGAAGCTCTACTGCTAGGTAGAAGCTTCATTTGTTATTTTCTAGAGATTTTGCTGACCAAAAACTTGTGACTTTCACTTTTCTCTGAGGTAAAAGTTTTGTTTTTAATTATTCATTAGGGTTTCTATAGCCTTTTCTCTCATTCAAAATTTTGGTCAGGAAGAAAATAGCTTTTCTTTGAAAGTAAAAAGTGAATCTTTGTAGTTTAAGCAAAATTTGTAATCTTTAAAACTGGCCAGATTCTGAAGCTTTGTTTGGTTGTCAAATCTAAACTTCCCTCTTGAGTGACCAAAATTATAAAAGGCTTCCTATGGGGATAAAATAAGAACCAAAGTTTTTTTATACTTTTTATTATTATTCTGACCAGAAGGCACCATAGGTAACTAGGGTCTTTCAGGTATGTCAGAGTGTATTTCTCATGATGTTAAATGGTCTCATAGGGAATCCCTTGAGAAGAACATACAAGGACTCTTGCTTAATCCAGTGTGTACACATTAAAAAATGGCCACCTAGTGCCTTAAGCACCCAAGTCTCTTGGGATCACTGAGACACAAGAAAGGGAACAATTGACTCCAGAGTGACACCTCAAGGTAATGTTCCCACAGGTAGTACACTTGACTCAAAATACTTTCCATTAAGTTTTTTTAGAGAAAAATCTAAATTAGGGGCAGTCCTGTATCTAAAACCAAGTGTTCATTTTTAAGGAGCAATCCACCACTAGAAACACCAGTTTCATTCATTGTTTAATACTTATGGTGCCTCTTCATGAAAATATTTAGAAAATATGTCACACATATGATGACACCAAATTACAATGACCAAAATAGGGCACATTTGAAACACCTAAACGAATTTACCTGCATGCTTAATTAGACAAAGCTAGCTCTAAAATAAAACAAAATAACTAGAAAAATGAATGTGATTGGTACTTAGAAGTCTCTAAAAAGAGGTTCTAATAAACTTATCTGTAGGAGTAAAACAAAAAAAGTCTAAGATAATTTCTGAATTGGAAAAAGATTCTGAAATTTCTCCTCCTGCTTCAGCCCTTCCTTTTCATTAGCACACATCGTCAGAACTTTCTAGCCTAGATTTACATCCTCCTCCTTTTCCTTAACCTTTTTCTGCTGTTCTGATTCCATTTTGGGAACACTCTGTATCTGTATCCAGTAGAGAAGAATCTGTCTCAGTTTGTCAACCACAGTCAGAGGTCAAGATTAAAACTATAATTAAAGAATTCCTTGACTGAACTTCTTAAGAGCCCTATTGGATTTAACAGAATACTCAAATTAAACATCTGAGCTTATAATTTCAGGTTATCTGATTTATAACAACTGGTCTACAGGGTTGTTTTAGAAAGTAAAGCCAAATATTGGATAGCAAAGGAAAACTGGAGCAATTTTTAGAAGACTTTCATACATTTCTGAAGCTGATTATGAATAAAATACTACTGCTAAAGCTTTACGAAACAATATTACCTTAGTTTTCCGAAAGGTGTTTGATAAGAACAAAATACAACAGTGCCAACAAAAACACTAATGAGCTCCTAATGTTATACCATTAAAGATTTGGAAAAAAAAAAGTAACAATATTCAGGCCTGTTAGGAGAAAGATATGTTAATCACCAAAATAATACACTCCCTAACTCAAGCATTATAAATGGATTCAATGACAAATTGGCAAGTATAATAAAGAGACAATCCCCCAGTTGGGCTACCTCTTAATCTCATGATCTAGTTAATTTTGCATGACCAAATTCATGCATTCTAACCAAGGAAGAAAAGAAAAGGAAAAAAAAGAGAAGAAAAGCAAGTAAGTCTTGAGTTTACAACTAAAACAATTGTTCAGCCAATTTATAACCCCTAAATGACTTCTTAAACTCAAAAACTAACCCAATTCTCTGCTTCTCAGTGAATGTAAAAAACTGTGGACAAGAATTTGACCAAAAGGCATAAGGCAGAGTGAGAAACTAAGACAAGTTTTAGAACAGGAGTGTAAGTTTAACAAAAAGCTTTAGAGCGAGAACAAAAGGAAGTAAACTTGGAAGAGGACAAAGCTGGCGACTTGAAAGATAAGTGCATAGTTTGACCTTTGACTTACACTTTTATACGTTGCTATACTTCTGGGGTCTTGCATCCCTTCTTCCCTGATTCTTCCTTTGGAGTGGGCTGTCCACATGTGCAGTGGCCTGCCAGCACTTGAGAGGCGCCGCATGCACAGTTTGTTTACTGGTGGTGTACACACTCTCACTTGAGGTGTTCTTCTCTTAACACTCTAATATTTCTAGAATGCCATTTACTGGTTAAACTTCACTATTTTGCCTCTTAGTGTGCATGCTTGAGCCCACTTACCCAACTCTTAAGATCTTATTGGGAAGCTGCTGATCACTACTTTCAGGTTTTTTTCTATCTATTGGGAGGCGGCCTTTTTCTGGCACCAGCTGTGACAAATTATCATTTTAGAGCGATGTATAACAACTGCCTGACCACCACCTGATAGTTGCCTGACATTTCTACTGTGGGTGGGGATTTGGGGGTTCTGTCCTGCCCTGCTCATGTCTGACTAGCTATCTACTTCAGCAACACTAATACTTTAGGATAAATTCAAATTATTTTAAATTGAGAACAAACAAGCTCTTACTGACACTGAGCTACATTATTAGCAATGAATCCCACATTATTACAAGGACCATTCCTTGAATTGAAAAAACGATACAGATGGTAGGTGAAACACATACTTTTATATCAGCAAATAAGTCTTAATTTATAGTTTCCAATTAGGTTTTATACAAGGAACACATGTTTTTCTCTTGATTCCCTCAGCCCCCATCCATTTGATAGGGAGAGACTTTCAGAATTACATAATGCCCATATCTTATTTTCTAAGAAGGGGGGGATGTATTTAGCATTAGAAGATAAAATTGAATTATTAGATATAATTTTTGTTCAAACTCTGCTTCTTTTAATTCATATATTGCAATTCTTATCGCCATGGAAATACTGAATTGTTAAATAATGAAGAATTACAAACCTGTCAAAAGTGGTTTCTGATCAATTGTGGTCAAAATCATCCACCAATATTGGAAAACTTATCTCAGCTGTCTCAATCAAAATTGAAGTAGGTCCATCGAAATGTCTTTCAAACTTTAAGCAATATCTTCCAGTATCAAGGACCTTGGAGGGAATAAGAACTATAGTTTTGGAATACATAAAAGATTACTTACTTCTTGTACAAGAGCATGTAACACTTTACTCCTTCTTGTAAGAAAACCAAGTTGTGTAGGAATGGTGGAGATTTGTACAGAATCTACGTGCAATTAATAACAGTCATTCTTTGACATCCTGGAGTATCAAAAAAAATTTTGTCTTGTGGAGACCTTAAAATCTCCCCAGTTTGGCTCCTCTGTGACTTATTCTTCCATTTCCTGCCACTCTTCTCCTCCTTCTTTTTGTCGTCTTTGATACAACATGAAGAACATTTACAGAAGACTTCTCACAGCCCTGTTATACCTTCAAGAACACATAAAAAGGAACCACACATTCTACTTTTAGAATTTTCTGCTCCCTTTGTAGTGTTCCAAGAGTCATGGTTGTCAGGCCTCTGAGCCCAAGCTAAGCCATCATATCCCCTGTGACCTGCACGTACACATCCAGATGGCCAGTGTACATCCAGATGGCCAGACATATACATATATATACATATATATGTATATGTCATATACATATACATATATATACATATATATGTATATGTCATATACATATACATATATATACATATATATGTATATGTCATATACATATATATGCATATATATACATATATATGTATATGTCATATACATATATGACATTCTGGAAAAGGCAAAACAGAGAAGAGTAAAAAGCTCAGTGGTTGCAGGGGTTATGGTAGAGGCAAGGATGAACAGGAAGAGCACAGAGGATTTTTAAGACAGGGAGACCCTTCTATATGATACTACAATGGTGGATACAATAATTATGCATTAAAACTCATAGAATATACAACACAAAGAATGAACCCTAATTAAACTATGGACTTGGGGTAATAATGATGTGTCAATATAGTTTGACAAAAATTGTAGCAAATCTACCACTCAAGTGCAGGACACGAAATCTGTCCCTACTGCAGGAGATTGCGCCGGGGGTACATGAAGACTTTGTACTTTCTGCTCAGTTTTGCTGTGAACCTAAAACTACTCCAAAAAATTTATTAATGAAAAAAATTCATGACATTTAATTTGATGGAGAGAATGTAAAACAGTATTTAACCAACTCACACTCCTGCTGATTTACATGGTAATAATTACTGAAGCTAAAGAAAGTCAGTGAGTACCTCCAGGAATGAAATAAACTATGAGAGATTGTGTTTAAGGAACAAGCTAGGTTTCCATGTCATAACTTCAGAAATAGAATAATACTTTGGATAATATATCATAAACACAGGAAAAGTCAATTCTCCCTCAAACTAGCTAGGTTTTCTTGATAAATAATATATATATGGAAAAGAAAAACTCCTTGGTTAGACTTTAAAATAATAATTATATAGAATGATAGATAAAATAAACAGGAAAATATGAGAAATGAAAAATAGGTTTGATAGTTATTATGTAATTGCATGAACTATTCATATGTTCTCTTGAAAGAATGATAGCTAACTAGTAACTTAATACATACTATTTTTTTTTTGAATTTCAGACATGATGCTAAGTACTTTACATTCAATTCACAATTTTTCCTCACAAACAAGCAGTATCAGCATCAAGGGCCAGCATTGTCATCAACAGGGAGTGTGTCAAAAATACACAATTTCAGTCCTTATTCCAGATCTACTGAACCAGAATGTGCACTTAAAGTCCTTCGGTGATGTTTTTTCATATTAATGTTTGAGAATACTACCTTATAGCTACAGATCTTTTCCCAGGATCACCCAGGTAGTAGAGCAGAAAATCAATTTAACTGTGTAAGCTTCTCAACCAAATTCTATTCTGTATATCACGTAGATGTTAAATACAAACACAGAGGAATCACTACATTTCAAGATTGAAATACATGTGATGCTTTTCTACATGTTTTTCCAGAGAATAGACCGAGTCAGATGAGAATCAATGTCAGTATGGATTATTATTCTATCGTAATGTTGATGGAATCTTATGATTGAAAAGACAATTGCCTCAAAAGATTTTAAAAAATCAAACTACCCTTGGTAACTTGTCTTTCCCAATCTCCTGGGAGGGCAAAATTATCAATTCAGAAATCTAAAAATGATTGAAATAATACCTGGAGAACCCCCTCACATATCGGGAAAATGTGTTCAAAATGGTACAATGTAGACACATTATATTTTCATTTTCTTTCTTTTTCAGCATTGACTGAATGCTAAAATTAGGTTCTTGTACTCACAGAAATAAAATGCCTTCTCTAGTATGTAAATAGATAATGTATCTATTGAATTTTTTCATTCTCTCAGGTCCTACCCTAATGAATGCCAGTAGATAAGTATTATTTTTTCAGAAAAAATGAAAATAATCTAATCTACATTCTATTTTGAATCTTGGATGTGATATATGAATGGTGTATCTGGGAGACATTGGTTGAAACAATTAAAAGTAGATAAGAAATGTAATTTTAAAAATAATTGTTTGAGGCATAGGTGCTTTTGTATGTCTCTAGCTGGACTATATTTAGATTTCTGATAGTTACAAGGGATATTGTTATGTTAATATTAGTAAAATTATATTGAATCTATGTGCACATCATATGCTTTAAAAGAGACCATCTGCTCTTTACATTGTGTTATTACAACATTTACACATAGCTCGGAAAATAGCCATACAAGATTGAAATCTTAAAACACCCATAAAAATTAATTGATTTTTCTTTACTACCATTCTGAGCTCATTACCTTACTGGTATGGATATATATTATACTGCATTATACTTTTTCCATCTCATTACTCTTTTTTGGCACTGTAAAATTAGAACATTCTAAAAGTAAGTTTCTAGGATTTAAAACTGCGACAGCCCACTTTTATAAAAATGTGACAAAAAATAATTTTTTGAACTTATAAAGGATTCAGAGTTATCTAAATCATGTAAACAAGTTACATTCATTCTTCAATACATTCATAATCTAAAAGATACTAGTTACATAGTTTTCTACTATTAATTAATTTTTTTAAATGTTAAGGATAAAAATCTCTGTATTTCCAAATCTAATATATGTCAATATACATTTTATTATATACTTTATATGCTCTAATTTTGATTTATTTAAAATACATGAAAAGCTAAAGGCTGCCACTTATAAATTTTAAAAGCAAAATGGGAGTCATCTTACTTCCTCCCTGTCTTTGGTTCACTAATGTGGTTCCTTTCATTGTTCAGGCTCATCAGTATAAGTTGACTAAGATCACACTGATCTTTACATTTATAAATGAATTCAATGTTTATTCCACAGACATTGGAAACTTAATGCTGTCCCAAGACTTTTTGCTATTGCTAGAGTTTTATATTCTCATGTTCATCTCTGCCTATGAGTTTAGAGATCCCATTGTCCTTCTGCTTTTTGCTTCAGTGTCAAACTAGTTGCCATTCATTAATCATAACCATAATTAATTTTACCTAAGCCTCATGTGGCTAAGAAGTGACTCGTTACACAAAATTTAAAGTTTGAGTATTAGACATATTGTTTTCAACAAAGTTCAACAATGTTAAAGTTTAATTTGGCATGTTCTGCCTACCATATTTTTAAAATTAAATTAATTTTTTAAAATTAATTGACATAATTGTACATATTTATGGGGTACAAGTTATATTTCAATATATGTATACAGTGTGTAGTAAAGCAAATCAAAGTATTTTGGATAGCCATCACCTCAAACATTTATCATTTCTTTTTGTTGGGAACAATCACGTTTCTCTCTTCTAGCTATTTTGAAATACACAATAAATTGTTGTTACCTGTAGTAATTTTACCGAGCTATAGAACACTAGAACTTATTCCTTTTATCTAATTTTATGTTTGTACCCAGAAATCAATATCTTCATCACTCTCCCAACTGTTCCCAGGCTCTGGTAACCACTATTCTACTTTCTACCTCCATGAGGCCAACTTTTCTAGCTCCCACATATGAGTGAGAAACATTTAGTATTTGTCTTTCTGTGCCTAGTTTATTTCACTTAACATAATGTCTTGCAGGCTCATCCATGTTGCCAGGAATGACAGGATTTCATTCCTTCTTATGGCTGAATAATATTTCCTTGTGGATATATAGTATTTTCTTTATCCATTTAACAGCTGATGGACGCTTAAGTTGATTCCGTGTCTTGGCTATTGTGAGTAGTGCTGCAATAAACGTGAAGGTATAGGTAGCTCTCCAACACACTGATTTTTTTGGATATAAATCTAGTAGTGGCAATGCTGGATTATATAGTGTTTCTATGTTTAGTTTTTTGAGGAATCCCCATACTATTTTCTGTAATGAGTGTACAGTGTATAAGAGTTCCCCTTTCTTCACATCCTCACCAGCATGTGTTACTTTTTCTTTTTTGTAATATCCATTCTAACTGGAGTAAGAATATGCCCACCATATATTTTATCCTTATCCGTCTTTTTTCCTTCTATTTATGTATTCAATATTTATATCAATATATACTTATAAATATTTTATTTTATAAGTTAAAATTTAATACCAACATTATTTGTTGCCCAAATTGATTCAGCCTTGGTTGTTAGGACCATTATAAGTCTGATTGGCTCCTGTGTTCTTTCAAAATGCTCCCACCTTCTTTTGAACATCTTCTTACTTTCCCACACCACCAGATATATATGGCTTACCTAGGATTTTCTCTGTCTCAGCCCTGGAATCAACTACTTCTTTTTTTAATAAACTTTTTTTTTTTAAAGAAAATTTCAATAGGTTTTTGGGGAAAAGCTTGTGTTTGGTTACATGGATAAGTTCTTTAGTGGTGATATCCAAGATTTTGGTGCACCCATCACCTGAGCAGTGTACAGTGTACCCAATGTGTCATCTTTTATACCTGTTTAACCTCCCTCCCTTCCCACCAAGTCCCCAATGTCCATTGTATCATTCTTATGGCTTCGTGTCCTCATAGCTTAGCTCCCACTTATAAGTGAGAACATATGATATTTGGTTTTCCATTCCAGAGTTATTACACTTAGAGTAACGGTCTCCAATTCCATCCAGCTTGCTGGGAATGCCATTATTTTGTTTCTTTTTATGGCTGAGTAGTATTTCATAGTATATACATATCACATTTTCTTCATCCACTCATTCATTGGTTGGCATTTGGGAAGGTTCCATATTTTTTCAATTGTTAATTGTGCTGCTATAAATATGCAGGGTCTTCTTCAAATAATAACTTCTTTTGCTCTGGGTAGATACACAGGAATGAGCTTGCTGGATCAAATAGTAGATCTACTTTTGGTTTTTTAAGGAATCTCCACACTGTTTTCTATAATGGTTGTACTACTTTACATTCCCACCAGCAGTGTAAAAGTGTTCCTTTTTCTCCAAATCCATGCCAACATCTATTTTTTTTTTTTTTTTAAGTTATGGCCATTCTTGCAGGAGTAAAGTGTTAGTGCACTGTGGTTTTGATTTGTGTTTCCCTGATAATTAGTGATGTTGAGCATTTTCTTTTTTTTACGTTTGGTGGCCATTTGTATATCTTCTTTTGAGAATTGTCTATTCATGTCCTTAACCTACTTTTTGATGGCATTGTTTGTTTGTTTTCTTGCTGATTTGTTTGAGTTCCTTATAAATTCTAGGTATTAGTCCTTTGTTGGATGCGTAGTTTGCAAAGATTTTTCTCCCACTCTGTGGGTTTTCTGTTTACTCTGCTAATTATGTCTTTTGCTTTGCAGAAGCTTTTTTGTTTAATTAAATCCCATCTATCTTTTTTTGTTTGTTTGTTTCACTTGCTTTAGGGTTCTTGGTCATGAAGTCTTTGCCTCGGCCAGTGTCTAGAAGGGTGTTTCCAATGTTATCTTCTAGATTTTTTGTGGTTTTTGTCTTAGACTTAAACCTTTGATCCATCTTGAGTGGATTTTTGTATAAGGTGAGAGATGAGGATTCAGTTTCATTCTTATACATGTGGCTTGCCAATTAATTATCCCAGCACCTTTGTTGAATAGGGTATCCTTTCCCCACTTTATGTTTTGGTTTGCTTTGTCGAAGATCAGTTGACTGTAAGTGTTTTCCTTTTTTTCCTCAGTTCTCTATTCTGCTCCATGGGTCTATGTGCCCAATATTATCCCAGTACCATGCTGTTTCCATGACTATAGTCTTGTGTTATAGTTTGAAGTTGGGTAATGTAATGCCTCCAGATTTGTTATTTTTGCTTAATATTGCTTTGGCTAGCTGGGCCCTTTTTTGGTTCTACATGAATTTTAGGATGTTTATTTCTAGTTCTGTGAGGTATGATGGTAGAATTTTGATGTGAATTTCATTGAGTTTATAAATTGCTTTTGGCAGTATGGTCATTTGCACAAAATTGATTCTACTTGATATGGTTTGGCTGTGTCCCCACTCAAATCTCATCATGAATTCCCACGTACTGTGAGAGGGACCTGATGGGAGGAAACTGAATCATGTGGGCAGGTCTTTCTCGTACTGTTCTCGTAATGCTGAATAAGTCTCACAAGATCTAATGGTTTTGAAAAATGGGAATCTCTCTGCACAAGATCTCACTCTTTGCCTGCTGCCATCAGTGTAAAATGTGACTTGCTCTTCCTTGCCTTCCACCATGATTGTAAGGCTTCTCCAGCCATGTGGAACTGTAAGTACAATTAAATCTTTTTCTTTTGTAAATTGCCCAGTCTTGAGTATGTTTTTATCAGCAGTGTGAAAACAGACTAATATACTACCCATCCATGAGCACAGGATGTGTTTCCATTTGTTTGTGTCATCTGTGATTTCTTTTAGCAATGTTTTGTAGTTTCCCTTGTAGTGGTCCTTCACCTCCTTAGTTAGGTATATTCCTAAGTATTTTTTTTTCCAGCTATTTTAAAAGGGGTGAAGTTCTTGATTTAATTCTCAGCTTGGTTACTGTTGGGGTATAGCAGTGCTACTGATTTGCATACATTGGTTTTGTATCCTGTAATGTTGCTGAATTTATTTATCAGTTCTAGGAGCTTTCTGGATGAGTCTTTAGGGTTTTCTATTTATATGATCATATTATCAGTGAACAGTGACAGTTTGGGTTCCTCTTTACAGATTTGGATGCCCTTGATTTCTTTCTCTTGTCTGATTGCTCTGACTGTGACTTCCAGTAGTACGCTGAATAGAAGTGGTGAAAGTTTTCATCCTTTTCTGTTCCAGTTCTCAGGGGGAATGCTTTCAAGTTTTCCCTGTTCACTCTAATATTGGCTGTGGGTTTGTCGTACATGTCTTTTATTACCTTAAGGTATATCCCTTCTATACCAATTTTTCTGAGGGTTTTAGTCATAAAGGACTGCTGGAGTTTGTCAAAAGGTTTTCTGTATCTATTGAGATAATCATGTAAGTTTTGTTTTTAATTATGTTAATGTGATGTATCACATTTATTGACTTGTGTATGTTAAGCCATCCCTGCATTGCTGGTATGCAACCAAGATCATGGTGAATTACCTTTTTTATATGCTGTTGGATTTGGTTGGCTAGTATTTTGTTGAGGATTTTTGCATCTATGTTCATCAGAAATATTGGTCTGTAGTTTTCCTTTTTTGTTGTGTCCTTTTTTGGTTTTGGTATTAGGGTGATACTGGCTTCATAGAATGATTTAGGAAGAATCCCCTCTTTATCTTTTGGAATAGTTTTAATATAATTAATATCAATTCTTCTTTGAAAGTCTGATAGAATTTAGCTGTGAATCCATCTGGTCCTGGACTTTTTTTTTGTTGACATTTTCTTTTATTACCATTTCATTCTTGCTGCTTGTTATTGGTCTGTTTAGAGTTTCAATTTATTCCTCGTTTAATCTAGGAAAATTGTATATTTCCAGGAATTTATCCATCTTCTCTAGGTTTTCTAGTTTGTGCATGTAAAGGTATTCATAGTAGCCTTGAATGATCTTTTGCATTTCTGTGGCATTAGTTGTAATATCTCCTATTTCGTGTCTAACTGAGATTATTTGGATCTTCTCTCTTCTTTTCTTGGTTAATTTCACTAATGAAATTTCAATTTTGTTTATCTTTTCAAAGAACCAGCTTTTCATTTCATTTATCTTTTATAGATTTTTGTGTTTTTTTATTTTAATTTCATTTAATTCTGCTCTGATCTGGGTTATTCCTTTTCTTTGGCTGGATTTGGGCGTGGTTTGTTCCTGTTTCTCTAGTTCTTTGAGGTGTGACTTTAGATTGCTATCTGTGTTCTTTCAGACTTTTTGATGTAGGCCTTTAATGCTATGAACTTTCCTCTGAGCATCACTTTTGCTGTATCCCAGAGGTTTTGATAGGTTGTGTCACTATTATCATTCAGTTCAAAGAATTTTTTAATTTCCATCTTGATTTCATTGTTGACCCAACAATCATTCAGAAGCAGACTATTTAATTTTCATGTATTTGCATGGCTTTGAGGTTGTACTAGTCCATTTTCACACTGCTGATAAAGACATACCCAAGGCTGGGCAATTTACAAAAGAAAGAGGTTAAATTGACTCAGTTCCACATGACTGGGGAGGCTTCATAATCATGGTGAAAGGTGAAAGGCACGTCTCACATGGTAGTAGACAAGGGAAGAGAAATTGTGCAGGGAAACTCCCCTTTATAAAACCATCAGATGTCATGAGAGTTATTCACTATTGCAAGAATAGCATGGAAAAACCCACCCCCGTGATTCAATTGTCTCTGACCAGGTTCCTCCTACAATATGTGGGAACTACAGGAGCTATAATTCAAGATGAGATTTGGGTGGGAACACATTAAACCATATTGTTCTGTCCTGGCCCCTCCCAAATCTCATGTCCTCACATTTCAAAACCAATCATGCCTTCCCAACAGTCCCCCAAAGTTTTAACTCATTTCAGCATTAACTTAAAAGTCCACAATCTAAAGTCTCATCCAAGTAAGCCAAGACCCTCCCACCTATGAGCATGTAAAATCAAAAACAAGTTAGTTACTTCCTAGATACAATGAGCATATAAGAATTGGGTAAGTACAGCCATTTGAAATGGGATAATTTGGCCAAAACAAAGGGGCTAAAGGCCCCATGCAAGTCTGAAATCTAACAGGGTAGTCAAATTTTAAAGCTCTAAAATTATCTCCTTTGACTCCATGTCCCATATCCAGGTCCTGCTAATGCAAGTGGTATATTCCCATGATCTTGGGGACCTCTGTCCCTGTGGATTTGAAGGGTGCAGCCTCCCGGCATCTTTCACAGATTGGCACTGAGTTTCTGCAGCTTTTGCAGGTGTACAGAGCTGACTGATCTGCCATTCTGGGGTCTAGAAAATGGTGGTTCTCTTCTCACAGCTTCACTAAACAGCATCTCAGTAGGGACTCTGTGTGGGTGTGCCCACCCCACATTTTTCTTCTGCACTGCCCTAGCAGAGGTTACCCATGAG
Source organism: Homo sapiens (assembly GCF_000001405.40). Taxonomy (NCBI): domain Eukaryota; kingdom Metazoa; phylum Chordata; class Mammalia; order Primates; family Hominidae; genus Homo; species Homo sapiens. Next base: position 132,155,890 of record NC_000004.12, read on the forward strand.
TGCCCTGCCCCTGCAGCAAACATCTGCTTGGGCATACAGGCATTTCCAAACAGCCTCTGAAATCTAGGCACAGGTTTCCAAACCTCAATTCTTGACTTCTGCATACTGGTAGGCTCAACACCACAAGGAATCTGCCAAGGCTTTGGGCTTACACCCTCTGAAGCCATGGCCCAAGCTGTAACTTGGCCCCTTTCAGTCACTGCAAGTCACCAAGTCCCTAGACTGCACACAGCAGAGGGACCCTGGGCCTTGCCCGTGAAACCATTTTTTCCTTTTAGGCCTCTACGTCTGTGATGAGAGGGACTGCTGTGAAGGTCTCTGACATGCCCTGGAGACATTTTCCCCATTTTCCTGATGATTACCATTCAGCTCCTCAGTACTTATGCCAATTTCTGCAACAGGCTTGAATTTCTCCACAGAAATCAGGTTTTTCTTTTCTATCGCATTGTCAGGCTCCACATTTTTGAAAATTTTATGCTATGTTTTCCTTTTGAAACTGAATGTCTTTAGTAGTAGCCAAGTCACCTCTTGAATGCTTTGCTGCTTAAAAATTTCTTAAACCAGACACCCTAAATCATCTTTCTCAAGTTCAAAGTTCCACAAATCTCTACAGCAGGGGCAAAATGCTGCCAGTCTCCTTGCTGAAACATAACAAGAGTCACTTTTGCTCCAGTTTCCAAAACATTCCTCATTTCTATCTGAGACCAACTCAGCCAGGATTTCATTGTCCATACCATTATCACCAGTTTTGTCAAAGCCATTCAACAAGTCTCTAGGGAGTTCCAAACTTTCCCACATTTTTCTGTCTTTTTCTGAGTCCTCCAAACTGTTCTAACCTCTGCCTGTTACCCAGTTCCAAAGTTACTTCCACATTTTTGAGCAACTGTCTTTTCAGTGGGCTTCACTCTATGGGTACCAACTTACTGTATTTGTTCATTTTCATTCTGTTGATGAAGACATACCTGAGACTGGGCAATTTACAAAAGAAAGAGGTTTAATGGACTCACAGTTCCATGAGGCTGAGGAGGCCTCACAGTCATGGAAGAAGGTGAAAGGCACATCTCATATGGTGGCAGACAAGAGAAGAGGACTTGTTCAGGGCAACTTTCCTTTTAAAAACCATCAGATCCTGTGAGAGTTAATCACTATCATGAGAATAGCATGGGAAAGACCCGCCCCCATGATTCAATTATCTCCCACTAGGTCCCTCCCACAACATGTGGGAATTATGGGAGCTACAATTCAAAATGAGATTTGGGTGGGGACAAAGCCCAGCCATATCAGATGGTTTCTTTTGGAGTTTATTTCCAATTTTATTTCCCTGTGGTCTTGATAGAATTTTATTTTCTTTAAATTTATTGAGACTTATTTTGTGGCCTATTATATGGTCTATCTTGGAGAATATTCCATATGCTGATGAATAGAATGTATATTCTGCAGTTGTTGGGTAGAATGTTCTGTAATTATTTGTCAAGTTTATTTGTTATATGGTATAGTTTCAGTCCATTGTTGCTGTGTTGACTTTCTGTTGTGATAAACTGTCTAATGCTGTCAGTGGAATATTAAAGTACCCCACAATTATTGTATTGTCGTCTATCTCATTTCTTAGGTCTGGTAGTAATTGTTTTATAAATTTGGAAGCTCCAGTGTTAGGTGCATATATATTTAGGATTGTGATATTTTTCTGTTGGACTAGTCCTTTTATCATTGTATAATGTCCTTCTCTGCCTTTTTCAACTGTTGTTGCTTTAAAGTCTGATAGAAGAATAGCTATTCCTGTTCACTTTTGGTGTCCATTTGCATGGAATATAATTTTCCACCCCTTTAGGTGGAAAAGTTTTATGTAAGATCTTATGTGTTAGGTGAGTCTCTTGAAGGCAACAGATACTTGGTTCCTGAATTCTTACACACTCTGACATTCTGTATCTTTCCCGTGGAGCATTTAGGCCATTTACATTCACCATTAGTATTTAGATTTGAGGTACTAGTCTATTCATTTTGCTATTTGTTTCTTGAACACTTTGTGTATTTTTTGAATTTAATTTATTGTGTTTTGTTTTATAGATCTGGTGAGATTTATGCTTTAAGGAGGCACTATTTTGGTGTATTTTGAGCTTTTTGTTTCAAGATTTAGAAGTTTTTATTTATTTATTTATTTATTTTTATTTTTTATTCTTGTAATGCTGGCATGGTACTGGCAAATTCTCTCAGCATTTGTTTTCTGAAAAAGATTCTATCTTTCCTTCATTTATAAAGATTAGTTTTGCCTGATAGAAAATTCTCGGCTGATAATTGTTTTGTTTAAGGGGGCTAAGAATAGGACCCCAATCCCTTTAGGCTCATAGGATTTCTGTAGAAAAATCTACCTTTAATTTGATTGGTTTTCTTTTGTAAGATACCTGATGCTTTTGCCTCACAGCTCTTAAGATTATTTTCTTTGTCTTGATTTTAAATAACCTGGTAAGTATGTGCCTAGGTGATGATCTTTTTGTGATGAATTTCCTGGGTGATTTTTGGGCTTCTTGTACTTGGATGACTAGATCTCAAGCAAGGCCAGGGAAGTTTTCTTCAATTATTCCCTCAAATAAGTTTTCCTAACTTAGATTTCTCTTCTTCTGCAAGAATACAAATTATTTTTATGTTTGGTTATTTAACATAATCCCAAACTTCTTGGAGACTGTGTTCTTTTTATATTATTCTTTTTTCTTTGTCATTGTTGGATTGGGTTAAGTCAAAAGTCTTGTCTTCAAACTCTGAAGTCTTTCTTATACCTGTTCAATTTGATTGCTGTAACTTTCTAGTGTATTTTGCATTTCTCTAATTATTTCCAGAAGTTGTGATTGTTTTTTATTTATGCTATCAATATCTCTGGACTTTTTTAATCTATATATCCTGTATTATTTTTAAAGTTTATTTTTTAGATTTCACCTTTCTCTGGTGTCTCCTTGAGTAGCTTAATAGTCAATCTTCTGATTTTTTTTTTTTTTCCTGGAAATTCAGAGATTTCTACTTGGTTTGGATCCATTGTTGGAGAGCTAGTGTGGTCTTCGGGGTGTTAAAGAAACTTGCTTTGCCATATTACCAGAATTCTTTTTCTGGTTTCTTCTCATTTTGGTAGACTATGTCAGAAGAAAGATCTATGACTCAAGGGCTATTGTTCAGATCATTTTGTCACACTGGGTGATCCCTTGATGTGGTGCTTTCCCCATTCACCTAGGATTGGGGCTTCCTAATTGCTGAACTGTAGTGATTGTTATTGCTCTTCTGGGTCTAGCCACTCAGAGGAGCTATATGGCTCTGGGCTGGTACTGGGAAGTGTCTCCACAGAGTCCTGTGACCTGATCCATCTTCAGGTCCCTCAGCTGTGGATACCAGCACCTGCTCCAGTAGAGGTAGCAGGGGAGTAAAGTGGACTTCATGAAGGTCATTGGTTGTAGTGTTGTTTACTTTGCTGATTTTCATGAATTCTTGTTGTACTAGCAGTGAAGTTGTCATGCGGACACATCAGGAACTCTGGTTAGCCACGATGTTACAGGCGGTGGAATTAGCTGTTATTTTTTCCTTTCTTACAGCAGGGTTGCCTTTTATGAACTGCTGTAATGGCTTGAGTTGGTAGGCCTCCAGCCAAGAGGTGGTGCTTTCAAGAAAGCATCAGCTATGGTAGTATGGGGGGATAAAATATTGCGCTAATGTCACCTGGATAAGTGTTTGGGTTTCACAGGTGATGGGCAGAAACGTAGAGTGTCCATGAGATTATATATTTTGTCTTTGGATACCAGCCCAGGTAGAGAAAGGATATCAAGTGGGGACGGGATTAGGCAGATCTAAGCCCAGAATCTCCTTGAGAGGCGCTTGCTGTGGCCACTATGGGGATCATGGGGGTGAGATTATCAGGCTAATGGTGTTGTCTTTCTAGTGGTATAATGGCTGCCTCTCCTTCTTCATATAGGCCACCAGAGAAGTGGGGGAAAGCGGTCAGTGACAGATCTCACCCAGCTTCCATGTTTTTTTTATTTTCCTGGTATGTTCCCTTGATAGTTCTTAGAGCAAAAGTTCACGACATGAGTCTCCACATGTTGTTCTGTCTGAGTGGGAGCTTCAAGTTTGTTCTGCCTCCTATCTGCCATTTTTCTTTTTCAATTACTCTATCCTTTTCTCTAAATAAGATTTTCTCAATTTAGTGCTATTGATATTATGGGCTAAATATTTTGTTTGTCTTTCACATTTCAAATATAATTAACACGATTACATTACCCTGATACCAAAGCCAGTCAAGGACACCACAAGAAAAGAAAATTGCAGACCAGTATCACTAATAAATACAGATGCAAAAACCCTCAACAAAACCACTAGGAAAGTAATGTATACAGCACATTAAGTGCCATACTACCTGATTTTAAAAGATAAAATTTGTATATTAATGCAAAGTAGTACATAAGCTATAGTTTGTTGTAGTGAATGATAAATCTTTGTAGTAAAAATAATTTAGAAAATAAACCCATATCTTTCAGAATTTTACTTGTTTTATAGAAAAAATAATATAAAATATTTAATATATGCTTTATACACATATGTACAAAATATATATGTATGTGTATACATATATATTGAATGGCTTGAACTCCTGGGTGATGAAGCAATCCTATTGTCTCAGCCTCTTGAGTATTTGGGACTATAGGCTCACACTCCCACCACTAGCTAATCTTTTTAATTGTTTTGGTTTTTGTTTTTGTAGAGATGGGGTCTTGCTTTGTTGCTCAGGCTGGTGTCCAACTCCTGGCTTCAAGCAATCCACCAATGTAGGCCTTCCAAAGTGCTGGGATTACAGACATCAGCTACTGCACCCAGCCATAAAACCTTTAGAATCAGTTTGTCAGTATCCAAAAAGTAACATGCTAGGATTTTGGATAGAATTGTGTTCAACCTATAATCAAGTTGGAAAAAAACTGACATTTTGATACTCACTTTGGTATCCATGAACATGTAATATATATTTATTTATTGAGATTTTTTCTTTCTTTTATCAGAATTTTGCATTTTTCTTCATACAGCTCTTACACATTATTTTGTGAATTATTACCTAAGAATTTACAAGTTCGTGCTAATGTAAATAATACTAGTTTGTAATTGTAGCTATTTTTCTGTTATTGGTTTCTAGTTTAATTCTATTGTGCTCTGCAAACACACTTTATACGATTTCTTTCTTTTTTTTAAATTCTGAAAGTTTTGTTTATGTATCAGAATATCATCTATTAACATCTTGGTGAATTCTACATGTGTTCTTGAGAAGAATATGTACTTTTAAATTATTGGATCTTATATTCTATAAATGTTGATTAGTTCTAGTGGATTGGTGTTGTTATTTAGTTCTACTATAGCTTTACTGATTTTCTTTATGCTTGATATGACAGCATTGATTGGAGAGTGTTAAAATCTTCAACTATAATAATATATTTGTCTATTCCTTCCAGCAGTTCTATTAGTTTTTGTCTCACATATTTTGACACTCTGTTCTTAGATGTGTACACATTAGGACTGCTACATTTTTTGGAGAACTGATCCCTTTATCATTAAGTAATGCCCCTCTTTACACCTGGTAATTACCTTGCTCTTAAGAGCTCTTTGACTAAAATTAATGTAGCTCTTTTGCTATTTTTGGATTAATGTTTGCATAGTATATCTTTCTGATTTATTTACTTTTAAACTATCAATGATTTTATGTTTAAAGTGGGTATCTGGTAGACAAAATACATCTGGGTATTGTTTCGTTGTTTGTTTTTATTTTTGTTTTTGAATCAAAAATATTCTTTCAGTCTCTGCCTTTTTATCAGTTGATGTGAAGGAAAATAATCTAAACTCTTATAATCAAATTTTAATGCTTTTAGGCCTTAAAAGACCTGAGTGTCTATGAGTGTCTATGATCACTTCATAAGTGATTTTTAGTCCTTCCTTTTCTTCCTTTATGTAAAGGCAGGAAGACTAGATGGTGCTGAATAGTCTAATTGTTCTATCTAATTGATAATGTTATTACCAAATGGCTACTTTTTTTCTTTCTATGCCTGGAGCAAGGGGGAATGTTTCTTTATCTTCCTCTTTAAGATGCTAATGTAGTTTTGGAGGCAAAACCCATAGAAGTGGGGTGTTCCCTTAAGTCTAGTCCCTAAGTGTTTTTTCACTGGCAAGCTAATTCACACTCAGCCTCTGGCAACTGATTAAAATTACCTTTTAAATGCTCTTACTAATATATGGCTAAAGAGGATTTGGGTGAACTACCTCAGGTTTGACTGTATTTGTTTTCCTCTCCAAATTTCAGGGAGGCAGTTTGGGCTGTAATGGTATTTCTCTGGTAATTCTAAAAAAGGACACAGATTATTTTATCTTTTTTTTTTTGATGGAGTCTTATACTGTGGCTCAAGATGGAGGACAGTGGTGCCATCTCAGTTCACTGCAACCTCTGTCTCCCGGGTTCAAGCAATTATTTCACCTCAGCCTCCTGGGTAGCTAGGATTACAGGTGTGTGCCACCACACCCAACTAATTCTTGTATTTTTAGTAGAGTCGAGGTTCCAACATGTTGGCCAGACTGGTCCTTGACCTCCTAACCTCAAGTGATCCACCTGCCTTGGCCTCCCAAAGGGCTGAAATTACAGGAATAAGCCACTGTGCCTGGTCCACTTTTTATCTTATATGACAGGAATGATAACTTCCACGATCTTTGCACGCAGGAGCTAAAACTGGAAGTGTGTGTGTATGTTTTAATGAGATTGAGAGGAGGTGCCAGCTATGCTTCCTGGGTCAAGTAGGGGCTCAGAAAGCTGTAAAACTCACTCATTTCCTGCATCAGGACTTCCTTCGATCCTGGATGAATAATATTGAAGGTATATGCTTAAAATATTCCTAACACCAGGATCTGTGCATATGTTTTCTTCCCCAAGAAAACTATAAACAACGAAAATTTTGCTGTAAGTTTCCCTGTGTCCTCTTTTCCTCTCCCCCTTCCCCCTCCCCCAAAACTAAAATAAAAAGAATGTTAACTGCCAGTTTTTCTGTGACCAGCAGACCTTATCTATCTTCCCAATTCCAATTCCTTGTGAACATACTTTGTAAAGTCCTGTAAGATCCTGTCTCTTTTGCCATGCCACTGCAAGGTCATGAAGTAAATAAAACCTAAGTTGTAATTCCAGTTTTCCTCAAGATCTAAGACATGTTACAAATAGTTAATTGCCTTTGTTGCTCGCTCTGGTAAAATCTTCCCACCGCACGTATTTCCCGCCTTAAAGAGCTTAAAAGGCAATCGTATAATCTAACTCTAGCTACCCGTTCGGGACCCCTTCTATATTGTGGAAGCTTTGTACTTTCACTCTGCTCAATAAAGCCTACAGCTTTTTGTCTCTCTCGGTCCGTATCTCTACCACTCGCCACAGTCAGCCGCCACACCAATTCTTTGGCATGGCTAGGCAAGAACCTTAGGCATTACAAGATGACTTATTTAAAAGACTATTTATTTTTAACAGAGTTGGCCATAATTTGATTTTCTGTGTATGATATAGAACATTATTTGGTAACACCAGTATTCAATCATGTATATAGCATTATTTAATGTCAGTAGTGTTTCAGTATACTGAATTTAGAATCAGATGAGCATAGGTTTAAGTACTGCCCTTACCATATATATCTAGGTTTGATCTTACTGCTTATCTGAGTTACAATGCCCCATTTGTAAACTCAGAAAACAATAACCTTTACTTAATAAGATGCTTACTATTTAATAAGCAACCGAACAGCTCCTTATCGGATCTATTTTTTTTCAGAAATTGTAATTAAAATCCTGACAGATTAAGCAGCCCAGGATTATTATATCTAATAAAAGTGAGAGTGACAAGCCACCTCTCCTGCTTCATAGCAGTGTGCTTCATATTTCATCACATATTAGTATTTGTACCCAAACCTCTATTTATTGAAATACTTCAACTACTCCTTGTTTTCCTTTTTTTTTTTTCTTATTTCTTCTAAAACAAACACACAAACAAAATACAATGGGATAAATGTGCAGAACATGCAGGTTTGTTACGTAGGTATACATGTGCCATGGTGGTTTGCTGCACTTATTGACTGACCTGTCTTCTAAGTTTCCTCCCGTCACTCCCCACACCCAACAGGCCCTGGTTTGTGTTGTTCCCTTCTCTGTGTCCATGTGTTCTCAAAGTTCAACTCCCACTCATGAGTGAGAACATGTAATGTTTGGTTTTCTGTTCCTTTGTTAGTTTGCTGAGGATAATTGCTTCCAACTTCATCCATGTTCCTGCAAAGGACATGAACTTATTCCTTTTTGTGGCTGCATAGTATTCCATGGTATATATGTACCACATTTTTTTTTATCCAGTCTATCATTGATGGACATTTAGGTGTTTCCATGTCTTTGCTATTGTAAATAGTGCTGTGATAAACATATGTGTGCATGCATCTTTATAGTAAAAAATTTCTTTGGGTATATACTCAGTAATGGGATTGCTGGGTCAAATGGTATTTCTGATTCTAGATTCTTGTGGAATCACCATACTGTCTTCCACAGTAGTTGAACTAATTTACATTCCCACCAACAGTGTAAAAGCATTCCTATTTCTCCATAGCCTTACCAGCATCTGTTGTTTCCTGACTTATTAATAATCACCATTCTGACTGGCATGAGATGGTATCTCATTGTGGTTTTGATTTGCATTTCTCTGATAATCAGTAATGTTGAGCTTTTTTTTTCATATGTTTGTTGGCTGAATAAATGTCTTCTTTTGAGAAGTGTCTGTTCATATTATTTGCCCACTTTTTGAAGGGGTTGTTTGTTTTTTTCTTGTACGTATGTGCTAGTTCCTTACAAATTCTGAATATTAGACCTTTGTCAGGTGGGTAGATGCAAAAATTTTCTCCCATTTTGTAGGTTTGCTCTTCACATTGATGATAGTTTCTTCTGCTGTGCAGAAGCTCTTTAGTTCAACTAGATCCCATTTGTCAATTTTGGCTTTTGTTGCAATTGCTTTTGGTGTTTTAGTCATGAAATCTTTGCCCATGCCTATGTCCTGTATGGTATCGCCTAGGTTTTTTTCTAGGGTTTTATAGTTTTATAGCCTATGTAGGCTTTTTTAGTTTTGGGGGTTAAATTTAAGTCTTTAATCCATCTTGAGTTAATTTTTGTATAAGGTGTAAGGAAGAGGCCAAGTTTCAGTTTTCTGCATATGACTAGCCAGTTTTCCCAGCACCATTTACTGAAAAGGAGATCCTTTCTCCATTGTTTGTTTGTTTGTCAAAGATCAGATGGTTGTAGGTGTGTAGTTTTATTTCTGAGATCTCTCTTCTCTTCCATTGCTCTATATATCTGTTTTGCTACCAGTACCATGCTATTTTGGCTACTGTAGCCTTGTATCGTTTGAAGTCAGGTAGTGTGATGCCTCTGGCTTTGATTTTTTTTTTTTTTTTGCTTAGGATTGTCTTGGCTACATGGGGTCTTCTTTGGTTTCATATGAAACGTGTAATACTTTTTCATAATTCTGTGAAGAATGTCATTGGTAGTTTGATGGGAATAGCATTGAATCTGTAAATTACTTTGGACAGTATTGCCATTTTCATGATATTAATTCTTCGTATCCACGAGGAAGGAATGTTTTTTCATTTGATTGTGTCCTCTCTTATTTCCTTGAGCAGTGGTTTGTAATTCCTCTTGAAAAGGTTCTTCACATCCCTCGTTAGCTGTATTCCTAGGAATTTTATTTTCTTTGTAGTGATTATGAATATGAGTTTATTCATAATTTGGATCTCTGCTTGCCTGTTTTGGTGTAAATAAATGCTTATAATTTTTTCACATTGATTTTGTATCCTGAGACTTTGCTGAAGCTGCTTACCAGTTGAACAAGGTTTTGGGCTGAGATTATGGGATTTTCTAAATATAAAATCATGTCATATGCAAATAGACACAACTTGACTTCCTCTTTGCTTATTTTAATACGCTTTTTTTCTTTCTCTTGTCTGATTACCCTGGCCAGAACTTCCAATATTATGTTGAATAGGAGTGGTGAGAGAGGGCATCCTTGTCTTGTAGCAGTTTTCAAAAGGAATGCTTCCAGCTTTTGCCCATTCAATATGATATTGGCTGTGGGTTTGTCACAAATAGCTCTTATTATTTTGAGATATGTTCCATCAATACCTAGTTTATTGAGAGTTTTAACATGAAGAGATGTCGAATTTCATCAAATGCCTTTTCTGCATTTATTGAGATAATCATGTGTTTTTATCACTGATTCTGCTTATGTGATTGATTATGTTTACTGATTTCCATATGTTGAACCAGCTTTGCATCCCAGTGATGATAACAGCTTGATTATGGTGAATAAGTTTCTTGATGTGCTGCTGAATTTGTTTGCCAGTATTTTATTGAGGATTTTTGCATTGATGTTCATCAGAGATATTGGCTGGAATTTTTCTTTTTTTGTGGTATCTCTTCCCAGTTTTGGTGTCAGGATGATGTTGGCTTCATAAAATGAGTTAGGTAGGAGTCCCTCCTTTTCACTGGTTTGGAATAGTTTCAGAAGGAATGGTACCAACTCTTCATATTTCTGGTAGAATTTAGTTGTGAATTCATCTGGTCCTGGGTTTTTTTTTGGCCGGTAGGCTATTAATTACTGCCTCAATTTCAGAACTTGTTATTGGTCTATTCGGGGATTCTAATTCTTCCTGATTTAGTCTTGGTAGGGTGTATGCATCCAGGAATTTATCTATTTCTTCTAGATTTTCTAGTTATTCATGTAGAGGTGTTTATAGCATTCTCTGATGGTGGTTTGTATTTCTGTGGGGTCAGTGGTGATATATCCTTTACCATTTTTTTGTTATGTCTATTTGATTCTTCTCTCTCTTCTTCTTTATTAGTCTAGTTAGTGGTCTATATATTTTGTTATTTTTTTCAAAAACTAGCTCTTGTATTCGTTAATTTTTTGGAAGCTTTATCGTGTCTCTATCTCCTTCAATTCTTCTCTGATCTTAGTTATTTCTTGTTTTCTTCTAGCTCTTGGATTAGTTTGCTCTTGTCTCTCTAGCTTTTTTAATTGTGATAATAGGGTGTCAATCTGAGATCTTTCCAGCTTTCTGATGTGGGCATTTAATGCTGTAATTTTTTCTCTTAACACTGTTTTAGTTGTGTCCCAGAGATTCTGGTATGTTGTGTCTTTGTTCTCATTGGTTTCAAATAACTTACTGATTTCTGCCTTAATTTCATTATTTACCCAGGAATCATTCAAGAGCAGATTGTTCTATTTCCATGTAGTTGTGTGATTTTGAGTGAGTTTCTTAATCCTGAGTTCTAATTTGATTGCACCGTGGTCTGAGAGACTGTTTGTTTTGATTTCAGTTCTTTTGCATTTGCTGAGGAGTGTTTTACTTCCAATTATGTGGCCGATTTTAGAATAAGTGCCATGTGGCACTGAGACGGATGTATATTCTGTTGATTTGGGGTAGAGAGTTATGTAGATGTCTACTAGGTCCACTTAATTCAGGGCTGAGTTCAAGTGCTGAATATTCCTGTTAATTTTCTGTCTTGTTGATCTGTCTAATACGAACAGTGGGGTGTTAAAGTTTTCCACTATTATTGCGTGGGAATCTAAGTCTCTTTGTAGGTCTCTAAGAACTTGTTTTCTAAATCTGGGTGCTCCTGTATTGGGTGCATATATATTTAGAATAGTTAGCTCTTCTTGTTGAATTGTTCCCTTTGCTATTATGCAATGCCCCTCTTTTTCTTTTTTGATCTTTGTTGGTTTAAAGTCTGTTATGTCAGAGACTAAGATTGAAACCCCTGCTTTCTTTCTTTTTTTTTTCTTTCCATTTTCTTGGTAAGTTTTCCTCCATCCCTTTATTTTGAGCCTGTGTTTGTCTTTGCACATAAGATGTGTCTCCTGAATATAGCACACCACTGAGTCTTGACTCCTTATCCAATTTGCCAATCTGTGTATTTTAATTGGGGCATTTAGCCCATTTACATTTAAGGTTAGTATTGTTATGTGTTAATTTGATCCTATCATGATGCTATTTGGTTATTTTGCACACTAGCTGTTGCAGTTTCTTCATAGTGTCATTGGTCTTTATATTTTGATGTGTTTTTGCAGTGCTGGCTGGTACTAGCTTTTCCTTTCCATAGTTAGTGCTTCTTTCAGGAGTTCTTGCAGGGCAAGCCTGTTCATAACAAAATTCTTCAGCATTTGCTTGTCTGAAAAGAATTTTATTTCCCCTTCACTTACAAAGCTTAATTTAGCTGGATATGACATTCTGGGTTGAAAATTCTTTTCTTTAACAATGTCGAATATTGGTCCCCAATCTCTTCTGGCTTGTAGAGTTTCTGCTGAGAGGTCCACTGTTAGTCTGGTGGGCTTCCCTTTGCAGGTGACCTGGCCTTTCTCTCCGGATGCCCTTAACGGTTTTTTTGTTTATTTGTTTGTTTTTTTCATTTCAACCTTGGAGAATCTGATGATTATTTTTCTTGCCTTTTATCTTCTTGTGGAGTATCTTAATGGTGTTCTCTGTATTTCCTGAATTTGCATGTTGGCCTGTCTTGCTATGTTGGGGAAGTTTTCCTGGATAATATTCTGACGTGTGTTTTCCAGCTTATTTCCATTCTCCCCATCTCCTGGTACTCCAATCAATTGTAGGTTTGGTATTTTTATGAAGTCTCATATTTCTTGGTGGCTTTGTTCATTCCTTTTCATCCTTTTTTTCTCTATTTTTGTCTGTATGTCCTATGTCAGTAAGGTAGTTTTCAAACTGTGATATCCTTTGCTCCAAGAAGTCCTTGTGCTGTGTATTTCAGCTCCATCAGGTCATTATGTTCCTCTCTAAACTGGTTATTTCTGTTAGCAATTCCTGTAACCTCTTATTAAGGTTCTTAGCTTCTTTGCGTTGGGTTAGAACATGGTCCTTTAGCTCACTGTAGTTTTTTATTACCCATCTTCTGAAGCCTACTTCTGTGAATTTGTTCATCTGATCATCTGTCCAGTTCTGCACCCTTCATGGAGAGACGACGTGATCATTTGGAGGAGAGGAGGCACTCTGGTCTTTTTGGTTTTCAGCATTTTCTTATGCTTTTTCATCTTTTTGAGATTGTCTAGTTTCAGTGTTTGGGGCTGCTGACTCTTGGATGCGGTTTTTATGGTGGCCTTTTTGTTGTTGTTGTTGTTGTTGATGCCATTGTTGTCACTTTCTGCTTGTTTGTTTTCTGTCAGTAGTCAGGTCCCTCTTCTGTAGGGCTGCTGCAGTTTGTTGGGGGTTCACTTCAGGCCCTATTCATCTGATTTGCTCCCATGCCTGGAGATGTCATTCAGGGAGGCTGGATAACAGCAAAGATGGGTGCCTATTGCTTCTTCTGGGACCTCTGACCTTGAGGGGCACCAATCTGATGCCAGTAAGATTGCTCCTGTATAGGTTGTCTCACAACCCCTGTTGGAGGGTCTCACCCAGTTGGGTGGCACGGGGAACAGGACCCATTTAATGAAGCACTTTCTCCCTCAGTGGAGGGGGTGTGCTTCACTTGGGGAAAACCCACTCATCTGGGCTGCCCAGATTCCTCAGAACTACCAGGAATAGAGGCTAAGTCTGCTGGTCTGCCGAGACTGCGGCCACCCCTCCCGCTAGGGGCTTAGGCCCAGGGAGATCTGATTTCCGTCCCTGAGTCTTTCGGAATTCCTGCAGGGAAGCTCCACCCACTGAGGAAAGATGGGTCAGGGTTACACCTGAAGAGGCACTCTGGCCGCAGACTGCCACAGGTGCTGTGTTGGACTGTGGGGACAAGTCTTGGGACCAAGCTGTCTAGCCTCCCTGGCTCCAGGAGGTAAGAAGTGCAGCCTGGAGCTATAGAAGTGGGTGCTGCCCTTCCCCCACCCAGGGACTTTATCGTGTTAGGCAGCTGTGAGTCCCCGTGCTGGCTCCTGCCCCTCCTCTAAGGAGCTCAAATGGCTTAGACAGCAAGCAGCCACAGCCAGTGCTTGTTGCCCCTCCCCCAGGGATTTGGTAGGCTTAAGCAGATTCCAGCTGAGGCTGTAAGATTCTGGCTGTTCCAGGGTTGGGACGCTAGACCCTGGTGGCATGGGTTCACTAGTGGCATCTTCCAATCCATGGGTTGCACAGTTACGTGGAAAAAGCACAGTTTCTCTGGCTGGGTGGCATGCTCACTCACCAACTCCCTTGGCTGGGGGGCAGGGTTCCCCTGCCCCTAGTGGCTCTCAGGTGGGCCACCACACCACACTGTTCTTTCTTCTCTCCTTGGGTCACACCAGGTTTCTAGTCAATTTTGATGTGACAACCTGGATACCTGGGTTGCTGGTGAAGGATTCACATGCTTATTATGATTTTTTACTATGGGAGCCTCCAAATGGTGCTGCTTCTAGTCAGCCATCTTGGCCCCGCCTCTCCTTGTTTTTCTTTTAGTCACCTTTCCACCTGCTCAGTATTCTCTCCCTTCATTTTTTACTCTCCTTAAATTTGGATGAAACACTACATGGAGGATTATAGGTTCTAGAATTCTGAATGGCTATCAAGAAGTTAAATGATTAAATCTAAAGTTGTAAGACAAAACTTGATCAATGAAAAATGGGACAAGGTAACAGACATAAACTATCTTTTTTGTCTTCTGTAAAGTACTCTGAGTTTCCATTCTTGTGTCTTTTTTGAGACATACCATATGCTGTGTGCAAAGTGCTGCTGAATAAGTCATTGTGTTTTCTTGCTTAGGATGTAATGCATCATGTCAGATATTTTATTGCCTCAGTTCAACTTTTCCTTCAATCTCATTGTCTTAAAATTATACTCCCAAAGTATTAGAATATTAATTATATTATTAATCTTATTTTTGGAGGACTTAGAATCAGATAATTGGTGGTGAAACAGTTTTAGAAAATAGAACCTCCAGTTGGGTTTTCATAGATACATTTCTTATCTATCTGCAAGTGACAGAGACCAAATAGCTGTTGGTAAATTGGATGATAGTTACTCCCACATTTAGTAGTATTAAAATTACTTAAATTTTCATCAAGTAGCCCAGATATTTAAGTATGCATTCTATCTTCTTAGCAATACTAACTCCCCCTCAAATCTCATCTATGTCTTTTGGAAAGTTACTTCCACCAACTGAGATTGAAGGAAACAACTTAGTCCTAGTTTACAAATTGGTGCACAGAGTATTTTGGCTCAATCTGAAATGGATCTGTTGCCAAATAACAGTGTCCCTCAGGAATGGTCCTAGAGAAGAGTGGTGAAAGGAAGTTTTCCCAGTAGTCAGACCTATGATCAGTATAATTCATAATCTACTTTGTATATAAAAAAAAATGTACTGATAATAATCTACAATGACTTGAAAAAATTAATAAATGACTGGGAAAGTGGGTCACAAGCCTGCATACAGCAATTCCTAGAAAATTGATAAGGAAGTCTGACAAAAATATAAGTGGCTGGATTTCTGGAAATGAGTTCAGAGCATTTAGATATTTTTGTCTTGTCTGTCTGTTTAGTACTCTAAGGGGCAAAGCTTGTGTTGGATGCCAGAAAATCTTCTCCTCCGATACAGGGCTTGTACAATCAGCCCACAAACAAAAGTGGGCAATGTTTGAGCTCAACAACACGGGCTTCTCCTCAGTACGGCTTTCTGTCTACTTCCATCACTGAGTACTAACCTGTCAGCAGCATAGACTAGGGTTGACACACTTCCATGGGAAGACTAGCCAGTAACTTGGCAGTGGATAAATGATATCGGAATGCCTTTAACTTTTGATTGGGCAGTAGTACTTTCTTATTACACCAGGTATATACTCTGAATGTATACCAGGTATACACTCTGAATAAGTTTGCCTTTACTGATCATAATGTCTCTACCAGTACAATGATCTGTGGGCTTACAGGATGCCTTATTTTATGACATCATTTCATAGAACATTGGCTTGAACCAGTGGGTTGATCTTACAGTGAAGAAGAGGCACCAAGATGTTCAGATCATAGGACACATTGATTTTACCATGTACCCCATCAACGAGAAGCAATTGACTAACTTGTTGTTTAAAACAGACATTTAAAGCCTTATTTAAAGTAACTTCATCTCGGCCGGGCGCGGTGGCTCACGCCTGTAATCCCAGCACTTTGGGAGGCTGAGGCGGGTGGATTACGAGGTCAGGAGATCGAAACGATCCTGGCTAACAGGGTGAAACCCCGTCTCTACTAAAAATACAAAAAATTACCCGGGCGTGGTGGCGGGCACCTGTAGTCCCAGCTACTCGGGAGGCTGAGGCAGGAGAATGGCGTGAACCCGGAAGGCGGAGCTTGCAGTGAGCCGAGATTGCGCCACTGCACTCCAGCCTGGGTGACAAAGCGAGAGAGACTCTGTCTCAAAAAAGAAAAAAAAAGTAACTTCATCTCTTGGTGAAGCTAGTGTATGCCCTCCAGGATTCAGAACATCTCTTGAATGAATAACTGATTCACAGGTCACTGTCTCTATGTCCAAAACATGTGAATCTCAGGGTAAAGTTAGCAATGGCCCTTCCTTTAGTCACTTGCATTTGTGTTTACTACTTCTTCTAATTTGGACTCTGGCATGTTTGGGGGAACATTTTCTTCAATGGGCACAATAAGGCTTCATTTAAACTTGTTTTGTGACTACCAACTGGCTTTTAGTGATACATTTTCTTTGATGAAGAAGTCACAGAGAGTTATTGGTTAGAATGGCTTAGCCTGATTACCACAAAGATTTTGGGGTGCTATAACACATTAGGAGCAGTGATGAATATGGAAGCCAGAGGATTTACTGGGCAAAACTCCATACTCAGTAATGTCAACGGGGAACTACAACACACATAACCAAGCCACATCAGAACAATAGAGTGCTTTACCATCAAGAATGAGAAGAATCTAGAATAAGTTTTAAAGGCAGGAGATAAGAATTATCTGTAAATGGCTCAGGGTCAGCTCCAGCAGTGGCAACTATAAATTGGTGTACTAAAAAATAATTATTTTATCATTTTTATAATAGTAATCAGCTATAATCTTCTGGAAGACTCCTGTATAGTCCTCCAGGTGATTATAGCTGATTACTGTTATAAAAAGAATGCTAATTCTACTTGTTTTTTTCTCTTCAAAAATGAGTTAGAGAAACTGTTCTCACACTGATATTGGAGTCTCAGTATTTTTTTAAATTGAAACAAGATACAGTGGAAGAACACAGTTGGATCCAAATGCTATTAGAAAAGCAAACTATATTCTCTTCTATGGTCTCCTTTGATTATCAGTTTTTTCTTTTGGTCAGTGCTTCATTTTCACTGGGTGACAGCTCCACTTTTGAGCTTGATGAAATAACACATCATCAGAATTAGGAGGTTTCCAGAGTGTCCAGTTAGAGGCTTAATAGATGCAACCCTCAATTCCTGAGATCCAAATGGCTTTATTAAGTAGTAGCCAGTGAGGCAAGTCACAAAATATGACTCGTTAGAATCCTTCATCATTTTTATTTTTATTTTAATTCTCACTGCCTTGAATGTGCCTTTCTCAAACAGTGTTAGCAACCTTATTTTCACTTCATGTTCTGCGTCAAGCTGAAACAATAAAGATTCACAAGTTAAAAAACAGTTTTTAATGTAACTTATATGAACGCATTTTTTTGTTGTTCTTTTTGGTTTTTATCCTTTTGTTTCCCTATACCTGGCTCTCAGAGATATGTAAGCACTTTAAGGCAGAGTTTGTCTTGCAATTCTGTGTACTTGATTTTCAGAATGTACTTTTATAGAAAAAAAATCTATAAGCAAACTATTTGGCCGTCATACATATAAAAGATTTTTAATCATACTATGTGTGCATCAGCCACTTGTGCATGAAAAAATAAAACACTTACATGTATCAAAGAAGAACAAATATATACATATCAAAACTTAAATAGGAAAGTGGTTGACTAATAATCACGCTCCTCATTGGTATAAGTGAAACTAAACAATTATAAATACACTTATATACTCATAATACATTTGCCCTCTCTCAATAGGTTACTCAATTTCACTTTCTGAAATATAAAAAATACCTAATAATATTATACTTAAAATAATAAGAGCAGCAACTTTGTTGTTTAAAACATGTAAACAATAAGTATAATAATATATGTATAAACAAATCTATTTTATGCCTTTTTTCCTGGTGTAGAAAATCTTCAATGAGCTATCATTATCTCTCAAAACCTATGTTATATCCTCCTCAATTGTTGCAAAATAATAAAATTATTAAAGTACTGGTTATGGATAGAATTAGGTTTGTTTTTAATTTCAATTATTTTTTACTTTATACTATTTCTGTATTCCTAAACAAGTTAGTTAACCTCCCCAAGTGACTTAGTCACCTGAAGAACAGAGATGTTATTAATATTCTCACTGTATGGTTGAGTCAATTCACAGATTTTTTTTTTCAAAATTACTCTCTTCCCAAAGTTCCCGTGAAACCACACTGTTGTGACAATGTGTTTATACTAAAACAAATATTTTTATTTTTCTAGATTAGCAAATCTACTCTTGGAACAGAGTGCACTTTTGCATAGAATATATTTACTTCATAAAATTACAAAAGAGCATTAAAGGTGTTAAAATATTTAAATTTTTAGAATGCTTTAAATAGAATACTTGTTATTATACAAATATTAAATTATGCTGTATTTTTGAACAAATTAAATCAATAAACTCTGAAACAAAAATAAGAATAATTTCTGACCTTCAGATCTTCTGCATAAATAACGTAAACAAACAGAGAAAAACTGCCTACTTTAGACTTAGGAAATATCTGCATATATGTCATGGTGGTGCTATTTTGTTTGTTTGTGTCAAAGTGAAGGCTTTAATGGTGAAATGGCTACATGAACATTTGAAGGTAGGTACTTTTCTATGCAAAATTTTCATTTAGAAGTCTTTATGCATAATGCTATTTACCTGGCAATTTATTTTACTTAAGACATAATTTATTGTCCCTTTTCATATCTATAATCTTGTGATCTGTCAGCATACCTGAAAATACAGACAAGAGCCAGGTTCCGTTATTCATTGATGGTTCCCAATAAATGATGTCAAACATTAATTACATTAGCTAGCTTTGGTCCCTGCTCATAACATGTTCTGTCAATCACGGCATTCACTGTTGATTTCATGTTGTACCTCTTGAAAGCCATTACTACCTAATAGCTTTACTTTTTTACTATAAATAACATATTTGGAACATCTCACTGAACTCCCTGCACATGATTTTCAGATTCTAGGCTGCTAGATCACTGAAAAAATAATTTCTCAGAGAATGTTTATTTGATTAATGTTTTACCTTTCTTTAAAATTTCCTTATATCAAATAAATTACTATCATAATCTATACTTTCTATATGGCACTATCAAAACATGACTTAAATATAAAAATATAATATAAATATATAATATTTATATGAATAATATAAAAGAATGTAAAAGAAAAAATATAATTAAAAATATAATGGGATAAGTGCAACATTTAAAATCCTAAAAGGTAACAATCTTCAAACATATTTAATATAAATCTTATGAGTTTATTTTCCATTTAAAATAATTTTGAGTAAGTTATCCTACAAATACTACATGATTATATTTCTATTAACTTATCCCTAATTTATGTGTTTCCTTAACGGTAATTCTTTGTTCATAAAGTTGCTGCTTTTTGCCAAAGTTATTATTAGGTAGTTTATGGTTTGTATTATTTTTGTAAATAATACATGCTTATTTCTGATTAACATATTTTTTATAGTCTACATGGGAATACAATTGGTTTTAGTACTGGCTTTTTCTAGGGAAGTTTTCCTGAACTCAATTATAATATCTAGTTATTATTCCACAGTTTCTTATGGATTTTTCTATATAGTTATCTAAATTAAAGATAGTGAATATTTGGTTTCATCTTCTTGATTTATGCCTTTTATTTTTTCATTTCTCAGTTCTGACTATACCTTCTGCTAAATGTTGACTACAGCAAGTGATTCATGGCCACAGTGCTCCTGATTCAACAGTGATATTTTTAATATTTTTTAATGTTAACAATGCTAAAGCACACTCCAGCCAACAAACAAAATGGAGTACTTGTGGCTAACGGAGGTTCTTAAAGTTAAAACAGAGCCAGGTGGTCATGTTTCAGGGAGAGTAGTCACATGTTCTCAAAGATGTTGTCACTGTATGATGAGACCTTCCTTTTTTTTTTTTTTTTTTTGAGACGGAGTCTCGCTCTGTCGCCCAGGCTGGAGTGCAGCGGTGTGATCTTGTCTCACTGCAAGCTCCGCCTCCCAGATTCACGCCATTCTCCTGCCTCAGCCTCCTCAGTAGCTGGGACTACAGGTGCCCGCCACTACGCCCGGCTAATTTTTTGTATTTTGTAGTAGAGACGGGGTTTCACCATGTTAGCCAGGATGGTCTCGATCTCCTGACCTCATGATATGCCCGCCTCTGGCCTCCCAAAGTGCTGGGATTACCGGCATGAGCTACCGCGCCCAGCCAAGACCTTCCTTTCTATAAGGAATCCAAACCAGTTCCTGTTGAGCTTTGAGAAAAAAAAAAAAAATCTGATACGAATTTCTGGTTTTGGGCTTGGGAACCAACCAATCAGTGCTCACTTGCCCCAGCCAATCAGAACTCAGCTCTATCAACCAATCAGAACTTAGCAATGTCAGTTTGAATCCTTCATTTGGATAAACAAATCTTATTGGAAACCTGGGATGGAACTGTGGCTGTAAAACCTGAACCCTCTATTTTTCCTCTGAGACAGACCTTCATTTTACACTAAAGACTACCTTTCCCCTGGTTTTCAAACTGTTCACTGGAATACAATGTATTCCTTCCAAATTCCTTTTAAGAGAATGTTTTGTTCACAACAATATATTGTTTGTTTACCGTAATGTTGTTGGATTACCATAATGTTTCTTGTGATAATTTCTAACATATCAGTCATTATATTAATTAAGGTAGTTTTTATTCCTAGTTTGCTCGATGCTTTTGCCAGAATTTTCTGGCAAATGTAGAATGTGTACTTATTGAGCATCTCTTTCTTTAAGCAGTGTTTTCATGAATTTAAAATGATGATCATGACTCATACTATTTATTGGAATGGTTGAATACCAATCTTCCTTTTTCTAACAAAAGGAAACTGAGGAACAATTATCAAAAACAACTTGTAGCCTCATCAGTAATTCTAACACTCACAGTACCTTGTAAATTTAATAAATTTTACTGTTACTTTGGCAGTTCTTTACAATGTTATTTTTAAAAAGAAAATTTTATATGAATTACTTTATTTAAAACACATTAAAACTATATTTGAAACATAACCAATATTTGGAAAAATATTTGCATAGTTTACATCTGATGAAGCTTTAATATTCAGAATATCTATAACTTCTACAACTTAACAAAAATATAACCCATTTTAAAAAAAAGGCAAATGAATTATTTCTTCAAAACTGTATTAAAATAGGTAATTTGCATATAAAAAAGATGTTTAACATAATTAGCCATCAGAGTAATGCAAACCAAAGTCACAATGAGATATTACATCGCATGTACTAGGATGTTGGTGATAATAATAATAATAATGGAAATTAATAATTGTTGGCAAAAATTTGAAGAGACCAGAACCCTTGTTCATTGCTGGTAGGAATGTAAAATGGTGTAGCCAGTATAGAAAACAGTTTGGAAATTACTCAAAAAATTAAGCATGGAATTACCATATGATCTAGAAATTTCAATTCTAGGTATATACCTCCTAAAATTTAAAAAAAATGGGGGTTTAAGCAGACTCTTATACATAAATGTTTATTGTGAAATTATTCAAAATATACAAAAGGTAAAAAGCACACACGTCCATCAACAGATTAATAACTAAATAAAATGTAGTATTCACACACACTGGACAATTATTTAGCCAAAAAAAGTTAAAGTTTTCATGCACAGTATAATACAGATGGACTTCTAAGACAATATTTGTAGTAAAATCAGCCACACCAAAAGGACAAATAGGGCACAAAATATCTAGAAGAGGCAAATCCATAAAGACAAAAAGTAGATTAAAGATTTCTAGGGTCAAAAGAAAGATACCGGAAAGTTATTGTTTAAGAGGTGCCTAGTTTCTGGAAATATTTGGAAATAGTTATATATATATATCCACAATATATATAGTAGTATGTGTGTGTGTGTACACACATATATATGGCCACAATAAAAAATCTATATGCAAAACACATGTGCCAATTAATGGTGATTTGTGTTTACTGATTCTAAATGCTTACACGTTACAGGAACTGGAGGAAGTCAATTTGAACCTAATATGTAATGAATTAAATAATTTCATTTGGGAAGACAATGGTTAAAAAACATCGTTTAATGCTGGAAATGTGACAGAATATTCACAGTTGCTGTATTTGTGTTACATTTTAAACCAATTTTAAAATTCCATTTTTGTTGTTTCAAATGTAGATGCAAAAATAATAGTGGATAAAGTTGAATAATTAAAAATCAATTTTTGGCTTGTAGTCTTGACTTTGCATTAATTGTGAGATCGTCTTTAAGTTATTAAAGTGCTTGCAACCTCTTTTTTTCATATCTGTAAAATGAGAGCTTTCTAAAAGCTTATCTTTTAGAAGCTTATCTTTTTGGGGATCCATAACCTCAAGTATGATTATATGAATAGAATTATTATGTTTATCTTGACAAGTTGATATAAAAGTTATTTAAAATGTGAACTATTATCTAGAAAAAAATGGTTACACCAGAAATCATTTTTATGATTGTTTTAATAATGCCAGTTTCATGCTTTATTAGAATATTTGAGTAAAAATATTTAACCACTGCATAAGCAAAACACAGGAAAATTAGCATGTGTGATATATAATCCTCAAAATGTACAGTTTTAGTCACATTGTGAATCAAAATTTCTTGACATGTCTTAAGAATGTAAAAATAGGGCCGGGCGCGGTGGCTCACGCCTGTAATCCCAGCACTTTGGGAGGCCGAGGCGGGTGGATCATGAGGTCAGGAGATCGAGACCATCCTGGCTAACAAGGTGAAACCCCGTCTCTACTAAAAATACAAAAAATTAGCCGGGCGCGGTGGCGGGCGCCTGTAGTCCCAGCTACTGGGGAGGCTGAGGCGGGAGAATGGCGTGAACCCGGGAAGCGGAGCTTGCAGTGACCCGAGATTGCGCCACTGCAGTCCGCAGTCCGGCCTGGGCGACAGAGCGAGACTCCGTCTCAAAAAAAAAAAAAAAAAAAAAAGAATGTAAAAATAATAATAATAATAAGGGAAGCTCTATCTTCTTTCAGCCCATAAATAGAACCAGAACTATCAGAATTTTTGGATGGCTGGTTGGCTATAAATTGGTTCAGTGGCCTTCACAAAAAGGTTGACTTCCTTTCTCAGAATCTCAGATACTCAGAAAAACTTCTATAATTATGGCAATAAGTATTCTTCTTCTTTATAAGAACAGTCAACTTATATTCATTTCTTAATATTGAATTAAATACTAAGAAAATTCTATATATTGAAGGGTTTCAAATAAATTCATACAAATATAAAGTTTATAAATAGCATTTACAAAATCAGAGAATAAGTAAGAAATTTAATCTACCTTGACATTAAAAAGTATAATTGTCATAGAAGCTCTTTTATGTATCAGTTAAGTATCAAGAGATTCTGTAGTGCTATGTTTTAGCATATAAATTTGTATAGACCGTGCTCAAGTATTTTCTTAATAATACTGTTTCACATTATATTATTTCCAGTTAAACTATCCTATTTACTATCACATATGTATTATCACAATATTTAAAATTGGTTTGGAGGAGCCTTATTAGAGATTGTATAGGTAGGTAATTATTCTGCATAGTCAGTAATAAATAAAATCTAAAATGTGAGGCTAAATCTTTATTTCAATTACCTTTTAAATAAACACATGTATTTGATATTTAGTTTTCAGGCTTTCTGATCCAGATTTTCTGCCTCATTTTCTCTATTGTATCACTCTAGTTATAATCCTTTGCACTATCATAGATAGTGGTCACAACCTGTTGTGAGAAGCTTTCTTTACTCATAGGTTTTCGTTATGGAGGTAAGAGTTAATGGCAGCAGACAGGACTCCCTGCAGCAATCTGAGTCACTTACACTTTCCAGATCAGTGACTTCTCTACTCAGAATAGTCTTAAATTGCAACCATGAGTACACACACACGCACACACACACTCTAACCTTTCACTTTGTTCAAGAGTTAATCTAAAAGTATGCTATGCCTAAATGGAAGATTTAAAAAAAAAAGAAAACAAGAGTAATAGGATGGAGAGAAATATTTGTAATAATAGGCATACCTCAGAGATGCTGTGGGTTTCATTCAGAACAAAACAATAAGACCAATATCACAGTAAAGTGAGTCATATTAAGTCATATTAAAACTATTTTGTAGTCTATTTGGTGTGCTATAGCATCATGTCTAAAAAATGTACATATCTTAGTTAAAAATATTTTATTTTTAAACAATGGTAATGAGCATCACAGCCTTTGGTAAATTGTAGTCTTTTTGATGGTGGAGGGTCTTGCTTTCTAGTTGATGACTGCTGATTTATCAGGACAGTGGTTGCTGAAGGTTAGGGTGGCTGTGGGAACCTCGCAAAATAATAAACAAGTCTGCTACATAAATTGATTCTTTCCTTCACAAAATATTTTTCTGTAGCATGTAAAGCTGTTTCATAGCATTTTACACACAGATCTTTCAAAATTGGAGTCAGTTCCTTCAAACTCTGCTGCTGCTTTATCAACTAAGTGTGTGTAATATTTCAAATCCTTCATTGTCAGTTCAACAATGTTCATAGCTTTTTCAACAGGAGTTGATTTCATCGAAAGAAATCACTTTCTGTGCTCATCCTTAAGAAGCCACTCTTCATTTATTATTATGAGATTTCAGTAATTCAGTCACATCTTGAAGCCCTACTTGTAATTCTAGCTATCTTGTTATTTCTACCATATCAAGCATTACATTTCTATCTCCTCCAATAAATTATAAATATTCTTAATGGGATCTAGAATAGTGAATCTTTTCCAGAAGGTTTTCATTGACTTTGTTTGGGTCCACCAGATGAATCAATCTCAATGGCAGTTGTAGCTCTTAAAAATCTATTTCTTAAATAATGAGACTTGAAAGTTGACATCACTCTGTGATCCATGGGCTGAAGAACGGATGTGATGTTATGCATAAAAACAACATGAATCTTCTGATACATCTCCATTAGAACTCTTGGGTGACTAGGTTCATTGTTAATGAGCATTACATTTTGAAATAAATATGTTTTTTTTTTCTGAGCATTAGTTCTCAACAGTGGGCTTAAAATATTCAGTTAACCATACTATAAACAGATGTGCTGTCATCCCGGCTTTATAATTACATTTATAGAGTACAAGCAGAGTAAATTTAGCATACTTCTTAAGGGCCCTAAAATGTTTAAATAGTAAGTAAGCATTGGCTTCAACTTAAAGTCAACAGATGCATTAACCTTTAAAAGAGGGTCAGCTTGTCATTTGAAGCTTTGAATCCAGGCATTGACTTCTCCTCTTCAGCTATGAAAGTCCTAGATGACATCTTCTTATATAAGTCTGTTTTGTTCCTATTTGTCTTCAGTTAAATTGAAAACCTGCTGTTTAGCATATCCACCTTCATCAACGATCTTAGCTAGATTTTTCTGGATAACTAGCTGTGGTTTCTACATTAGCACTTGCTGCTTTACCTTGCACTCAAGTCCCAAAAATGACTTCTTTTCTTAAACCTCATGAATCAGTATCTGCTAGCTTCAAACTTTTCTTCTGCAGCTTCCTCACCTCTCTCCGCCTTCATAGACTTGAAGAGAATAGGGGTCTTGCTTTGGATTTGGTTTCGGTTTAAGAGAATGTTGTGACTGATTTAACCTTCCATCCAAACTGCTAAAACCTTCTCCATATCAGCAATAAGGCTGGTTTGCTTCCTTATCATCTGTGTGTTCACTGGAGTAGCTTTTTAAATTTCTTTCAAGAACTTTTCTTTGCTTTCACAACTTAGCTAACTGTTTGGCACAAGAGGCCTAGCATTTAGCTTATCTTAGCTTTCCACATGGCTTCCTCATTAAACTTAATCATTTCTAGCTTTTCATTTAAAGTGAGAGACATGGGACTCTTCCTTTCAGCTGAACACTTAGAGGCTGTTGTAGGATTATTAATTGGCCTAATTTTAATATTGTTATGCTCCAGGGAATAAGGAAGCCTGAGGAAGGAGAGAAATGGGGAAATGGCTGGCAGGTGGAGCAGTCAGAACACACACAACATATATTGATTAACTTTGCCGTCTTTCTGGCATGGTTTGAGGTGTACCAAAATAATTACAATAGTAACATCATGATCTCTAATCACTGCTCACCATAACAAATATAACAACAAAAAAGCTTATAATATTGCAAGACTTACTCAAGTGTCACAAAAAGCATGAAGTGAACACATGATGTAGGAAAAATGGTGCCAATAGATTTGCTGAAGGCAGGGCTGCCACAAACCTTCAATTTGCAAAAAAATGCAATCTCTACAAAGCACAATAAATTGAGGTGTACCTTTAATTGGAATTATTTACATGATTTTTCCATTGAGAGATATTGTATATTTCTCTAAGCTTCATTTTGAATATATTATATTATGATTATATTATATATATTTTGAATATATTATAGTTTTCTATTATTCTTTATGTGAGACTTTTTCATTTCTTGGTAAGTTTATTACTATGATATATATTGTAATCCTTTTAATATTACTAATGGCATTGGACATATTTTCAAAATCATTATCTTTTACTTAAAACAATGTAATTTTTATTTATTTTTTAATAATCACATTAATAAATTTTTTCACTATCCTAGAAGTCATTATTATTATAGTTTAAAAATTATATCATCTTGAAATTATGTCATCTATTTTCAAAGATTATAGATGTCTATTCTATTCAATACCTATTTTAATTGTAACAAAAGGTAAACAATAAAAATGGCACATCATCTTATATTAATATAAGAATTTCCATATAGTTCAAACATTTACTAATTAATTCACTAAACTCCTATTCTATATGATTCTGCTATTCAAATACAGATAATCTCCTATAATTGTTTCTGGATTTATTTTTTTCACATTTAGCCTGATACAGAAATTTTTGATATTACATGTGTTTAATATAAGAATATTTGAATAATTTCTTCTAAGTTATTTTATTTATTTGAAAATAAGACATTTAAAAAAATTACTATATGTTTAAAAATGTTTTTAGAACAATTTGTTTACAATTATCTGTAAACCATATTTTTAATTTCAGATTTTAGGCAATTTTTATTTGAAAAGTTTGATTCCTCTTTTGAAACTACCAATATTATTGATGTCTGTAAGAAAAAGTTGATGTTTGCATGCACACGTATGTTTATTGCGGCATTATTCACAATAGCAAAGACTTGGAACCAACCCAAATGTCCAACAATGATAGACTGGATTAAGAAAATGTGGCACATATACACCATGGAATACTATGCAGCCATAAAAAATGATGAGTTCATGTCCTTTGTAGGGACATGGATGAAATTGGAAAACATCATTCTCAGTAAACTATCGCAAGAACAAAAAACCAAACACCGCATATTCTCACTCATAGGTGGGAATTGAACAATGAGAACACATGGACACAGGAAGGGCAATATCACATTGGGGACTGTTGTGGGGTGGGGGGAGGGGGGAGGGATAGCATTAGGAGATATACCTAATGCTAGATGACGAGTTAGTGGGTGCAGTGCACCAGCATGGCACATGTATACATATGTAACTAACCTGCACAATGTGCACATGTACCCTAAAACTTAAAGTATAATAAAAAAAATACTCACAAAAATTAAATAAGCTATCAAATCACATTTTTAAAAATTTTTTTACAATCAAGATTTCTAAAAATTAAATAATGTTCCTATACTTTGGCCACTTTAAAAATAAATCAGATTCTTTGTTGGAAAAAAAAAAAAAAGAAAAAGTTGATGTTTGAAAAACAAGCACTTTTTAACATTGCTGTCAATCATATTATGTTGTATTTGGTCATCAAATATATGTTTCATTTATGAAATTACACTAACAGTTGCTTTTAGCTTATTTCTTATAATTAAGCAATTAAACAACTAATCTTTGTGTACAATTTGGAGTTGATAGATTCAATAATTAATAACATTATTATAAAGAGAAATAGAAATAACTATGAAATTCTACCAGATAATTTCTCTGAATTGTCATTATAAAATCCAATTAGAATTCTGCAAATGAAATGATTTAGCAGCAGAACTAGTTTTAGTATGAAATAGTATATCACTAATTGAAAGTGAATTGGACCATATATTCCAATTACTATCTTTCATACTATAGAGGATATACTGGTGTGTTATGAAGTATAACATTAAAACTTCATTAAATCAGGCTTAAAATCTATTAAAATATAAGTATGTATGAATTTGTCCTAGTCTTACCAATCATCGCAAAATTTTTATATCATTAATCTTCTGT
The DNA here is from genome assembly GCF_000001405.40 of Homo sapiens. Lineage (NCBI taxonomy): Eukaryota > Metazoa > Chordata > Mammalia > Primates > Hominidae > Homo > Homo sapiens. The sequence continues at coordinate 132,184,519 of NC_000004.12, forward strand.
GGAATTCTAAAGCAGGGAAATTTAATAAACGTAGGCATTTCTTAGATATGAACTCTTATCTTTTTTCCTAAATTAAAATATATTTGCTTCTTTAATTGTAATTAAAAATTATGAATATGTGGTTATTGTATAAAAGAATTTTGTTCAATTATAAAATGTATAAAAATATCAAGATCACTCAATACTAACACAGAAACATAATAAAATCATACTATTTTGTGTTGATGTGCATAATTTTAACTTTTATTTAATGTGTGTGTGTGTACACATGTATTTGTGTGTAGCTATGATTAGATGAAAAACAAAATCAATTTATCAATTGTGCATGTTGGATTATAATCTGTTATGCACTCACAGGCTTTAATGACTATTAGTAGAGATTTATTTCATTCTTGATATATATAGTGTTTCATAACTCATCCATAACCTACATATACATAACTTAGATATTTTTGCTATTTAAGCAATAGCAAGGCTAATGTCCAATATGTACTTTCACATATTTAGTAGATTGTTTCCACAGCAAAAATTAATCAAGTGAAATTACTATGTGTATTAGTTTCTTAGAGTTACTGTTACTTCGAACTGAGTGGCTTAAAACAATATAAATTTATTCTCTCACAGTTCTGGGACAAGAAGTCAGAAATTAAGATAATGGCTGGGCCATACTCTCTTTGGGGACTGTAGGAGAGGATACTTCCTTGCCTCTTCCAGATTCTGGTAGTCAAGGCATTCCTTAGATTGTTCCTTGGCTTGGATATCAGTACCATATTCCCAGGATATAAATGATTGGAACAAATCACATCACTGGAGCTACCATAACCCCAAACAGGAAAATATTGGGGCTGTTCATCACTAACCAACAACACTTCTTCAAGAAGATCCTGTCTCCAAAGTGTAGAAAGAAGTCCAATGTCATAAAGATGACCAAGGTGGATGTTTTCTCTGAAAGTAGAAACTGTTCCTTAGTCCCACCATCTTTATATACACCCGAGAGATACACCTTTAGCCTAAGAAATTTTGGTGGCCCCTTCAAAATCTAAGATAGTTCAGAACATGAAGAAATCAAAGGTTTTTGTGATACATTCATCACAGCCTGTGAGGTCTAACAACCTTGGAGGAGAAAGATGAAAGCGGTATGGGGTGGCATGTCTATATCTACAAGGAAGGAGTTATGCAGAGAATAGATAGGGCCTTGTGTCTGATGGCATCTGTGGTTTGTCTGTTTGTTTAGAACAGAAGAGTTTAGTTTAGTCAATTGTGTTACCCTCACTCTCCTGGCATCAGGAGGCAGTAGGCAGAGGAAGAAGAAATGATGGGTGGAAAGAGAAGGATGCTTGGGCTCCAATACTCCTCTCCTCTTCCTGGCTAGAAAAAGATGATGGAGACGAGACAAGCAGCAGCAGCAGCTATTTTTTTAATCAATAAATATACTTCATTACTGAGCCGGCAGAAAAGTGTGCGAAGAGGACCTGGGATGGGAAGGAAGGGAGAGAAGCATGGTGCAAGACCCCCACCACTATTCTCACCCCTTCTGTCTTAAAACTATGAACAAACTTTTAACATGGCCCCCCTGTCTCCGGGGCTTCTTTGAAGCTGCACTGAAGGGGACACCTGGCAGAGAGACAAGGCTGAGGCGACAGAGGGAAAAAAAGAGGGAGGAAGGAAAAGAGAGAGGGAGAGAGGAAAAGGAAGGGGAAGAGAGGGTGAGGCCTCAAAACCTGCCATTATTATTATGCTTCATCATCTTACAATCTAAAATTTCCACATTGTAACCTCACGTTAGTTTGTACTTCTTTAAATATTAGTAAGAATACATCTATTTCTGCTTATTTATTGGACGGTTTTTGTGATTTTTTTCTGAACATACATTAACTTCCTCCCCCTTTGAGTTATTCATTTTCTATATTGAATTGTTTCCACATTATTAATGAGTTCTTATCACTTATAATACAAATACTTTTCATACCTTTCTATTTTATCAATTTCATTTTTGTATTAATTTTTATTTTACCCTCCTTGAGTTGTAATTTTAATTTACTTTCATCTGCCATCCCTCTGTATGTTCCTTTATGGTTTCTATATTTAGTGTCATGAAGCTATATCCATATGCCCAAAGTAAATTAAATAGGTACCTTAATTTTTTTGTTCCACATAATTATATTTTAATGGGACTTTTAATTTAAATTTGATATTACAAAATCCGTAACAATTTATCCAATATTTTAGGATATTTTTATTCATTTTAAACTTCATTATATAATAGACACCATATTATGTATGCCTACTATATAATAAAGCATATCTTGCTATTTATTAAACTGCCTATTTGATAGATTATAAGAATGTAAGTTGCAAACTAATGTGTATGCGTGATATGTGTTACAACTGAATTATTTCCAAGCATTAACTTTATTTTTGTTTCGGTTCTGCTAAACAGTATACATGACACCATAACTAATATTAATGGAAACACAATGCAAATGAAAACATAGTTAATTAATACTTTTGAATGTTAATAATAACAATACATTAAAGCTTAAGTCTCTTTTATTTATAAGACCCTAAATAGGACATTTGCATGTATTATCCCATTTGATCATCACCCTATTCCTGTATTTTCTTAGCTCCATTTACAAACGTGTAAATGTTTTCTCAGAACATTACAATAACTCAATTAATGTTACAGACTTAGAACATACAGAAAATGTATTCCATAACCAAAAATTTTAAAGACTACTCTGTGTTGCTTATATGGTAGGAGTTAAAATCTTGTTCTCAACAATAAGAAAGAGTTGGGCTGAATTTTATTTATATTATATCACATGTTAGCATAGATAATGCTGCTACTTTTGTTAAATTGGGTAATTATAAAACCACAAAAAATAAACTGAGGAAGTTTATTCAGTGGTATAGAGTAAACCAGCCATAAATTGAACTTGAGTAGGCATTTTATAGTAAGTTAATATCTCTTTATTAATAGCACATTTATATTTTAATTTTATAGGTTATTTTAAAATACTCAACACTAGAGTTTTCTATAAGGATACTTCATTTTACCAAGTCCTGCAGTTTATGTCTACACCATTTTCATAATATGTGTCACTAAAAGTAATAACAGAAAAAATATTATACTTGGAAGTTCTAATAATGGCAACAGCTTTCCAACACATATCACAAAAGAGTAAAATTTGTCACAAATATTCATAGTACATATGTTCCCTCCAGCTACTTTTTTAAAATATTTTGGAATACTTCCTTTATTAAAATTCAAAATGATAAAATTACTTTAAAAGTTATTAAAATGACAAAAATATTATTTTTAAATTGAATGGCTTTATTATTTTCAGGAGATAGAATATTTTCAAATAAAGTTGTGAGCATATTAACAGCAGATTAATCACAGTTATTTGAAAACCCTGGCTAAGGTATATATGATTACCAGATGATATTATATGTATTTTATATATACATAATATATATACACAAATATACACACATATATAGTATATATGTACTATATATATAATCACACTCATTCACATATGTACATACCTGTATATTTGCAAGGATATTTTTTTCTTCTGTATTAATTACCTACTGTTTATGCACTAATTAAAAATATTTTTATCATCAACATTTTATTCCTTATAATAGTAAGTTAGACACAAAAAGTTAGAAAACAATCTTTATTCTTAGGCCTCATTTATATGTAAGTCTTAAGAGAACATAGGAGAGATTTAAGGTAACTTTAAAAGCAATTAACACTTCTTTTCTGAAGTCGAATATGGACGTTAATCATGAGAGAAAGGGTAAGGAGAGAGGAGGAAGGGGAGGGTTAGGAAGCAATATTAATTTGTTTTAAATATTTAGATGATACTTCTAGTAATGCCAATCTATTTTTAATACTAATTTTGGAAACTATGTGAATTTTTTTTCTATATATGTCTAAAACTAATTTGTACTTTTATCTGTTAATACAGGATACTAGATAAAACACAAATTAAAAATTAATATATTTTGTTCCAAAGAAATTTATCTAATAAATTATAAAAACAATGCAGTTTTATATAGGGCAAATAAATTCAAGAGATAACATTTAATATATATTCTGCTACCGGTGAAATGACTTCTTTAAAGCTTTGATTTCTGGTTATTGAACCTCTTTCTGTTTTAACATGTTGTGACTATGGTTGTCTATCAGTTGCCTCCTAGTATCTGTTTACCTGATCTTATATAGTAAAAGAAACCTTAAATGTATCCACTGGGCTCCAGTCTAGCCAGAAGAATCATTTCCCAACTTCTGCATCAGTGTGTGGCTGTATCACTAACAACTGGTCAAGGGATATAAAAGAAAGCACTATGGGCAACTTCTGGAAAGAGTCCCTAAAGAACAGGGTATGACCTTTCCCTGCTCCTTCTTCCTTTTTAGGTGGGTAATATTAAGCAAATATTGGCAAATGCAGCATGACAGAAACTTGTGTAATGGATGATCTCATGTCTCAACACCAAGGATTGCTCTAAATTAATGTGTGTGAGAGAGAAATAAACTTCTCTTTTGATTGAACAACTGTTATTTTGGGCTTTATGTTACAAGCAGCTGCACAAAAGTATAACTAACAAAGTTATATTTTCATCACCATTTAATTCTAATTGTGTGTATGTGTATGAACACATATATTTCCATTAGTCTTTATTATTTTACTCTTTTATATATATATATATATATATACATGTTTTCAGTTTTCATATATGAGTAATTTGGTAGGGAGTAATAATATTTCTGATATACTATAACAACAACGTAGTTAGGAAATGTTTTCTATATTATATTAATTATTTGATATTTGTTAAAAAATTTTATGGCCTAATTGTTCAATGTTTGTAATTACTCCATGTGTGTTTGAAAATATATATTACATGATTATTTTAGATAGATAGGCATTATATATATATCAATTTGATGAATAGTCATGTTATTTGCATGTTCTGTATTCTAGTTAAAAATGAAAAATATCTCTTTTTCTTTTTCTTTTTTTTTCTTTTTTTGAGACAGGGTCTCACTCTGTCACCCAGACTGGGATGCAGTGTCGCAATCTTGGCTCACTGCAGCCTCCTGCCTACCATGCTCAAGACATTCTCCCACCTGCCTCAGCCTCCCAAGTAGCTGGCACTACAAGTGGGCAACATCAAGCCCAGCTAATTCTTTTGTATTTTTGGTAGAGACAGGGTTTCACCTTGTTGCCCAGGCTGTTCTTGAACTCCTGAGCTCAGGTGATCCACCCACCTTGACCTCCCAAAGTGTTGGGATTACAGGCATGAGCTACCACACCTGTAAAAAAAACTCTTGTTAATGTGGAAATATCTCTAAAAACTGTGTTTAAAACTTCCCGCTGCTTGGGGATTTTTAAATTTTTTCTTATTGTTTCTTTTTTCTTTTTTTGCATGTTACAAAGGTAGTTTATGTTATTAGGCACATATAATTTTGTAATTTTATAGTTTACTAGTGAATTATTTACTCTGTTATCTCAAAACACTTTTTATATGAAGTAATTTACTTTGTACTTGCTTTTTATTCTTGTTGACAGTGTAGCTAAATCATGTTTCTTTGGTTATTTGTCTCATATGGTTTTATCAGTTCTTTTACTTTTATTCTTGTTGCATCATTATGCTTTACTCTGCCTTTTGTAAACTGTGAGTTGTTCATGTCTTTTAATCCAGATTGTTTTTGCTGGCATTTTAATTCATTTATCTTTATTGTGATTATTTTACATTGAGTCCTGTCACGTTATTTTGTACTTATTAAGCATTTTTCTTTGCTTTTGACACATTTTTTCCCTTTTGTTTTTTCTTTGTCTTTTTTTTTAATTTATAGCGTTCTCTTTCTGTTAATTTCTTATACTTGTTAGAAAGTTATGCATTATACGTCTTTTGTTTTTCATAGTAGCCCAACTATTTTAACCTGTATGAAATACTCCTAATATTGCCCATTAGTTAAATAAATCAAGGCTATGCCCGTTAGTTAAATAATTCAAGGTTTTATATGCTTTAAATTTGATTATATCTGTTTTTCTTACAGTTTTGTATGCCTCCCAAATTATCATAATTAATACTTATTTACATTTATGTATATGTTTATCAATATTTATGTGATTTTTTTTTTTTGAGACAGAGTCTCACTCTGTCACCCAGGCTGGAGTGCAGTGGCAAGACTTCCACTCACTGCGACAGAGTCTCAGTCTGTCACCCAGGCTGGAGTGCAGTGGCGAGACTTCCACTCACTGCAACCTCTGCCTCCTAGGTTCAAGCAATTCTCCTGCCTCAGCCTCCTGAGTAGCTGGGATTACAGGTGCCCACCAACATGCTGGGCTAATTTTTGTATTTTTAGTAGAGATGAGGTTTCACCATGTTGGCCAGGCTAGTCTCGAACTTGTGACCTCAGGTGATCCACCTGCCTCAGCCTCCCAAAGTGTTGGGATTACAGGCATGAGCCACCATGCCCGTCTATGTGATCTTTTCAACCCACTCCTGTGTTCAATTTTCTACTAACCGCTACACATACACACACACACACACACACACACACACACACACACACATAGACACACACACTTAATATTAATTTTTCAGTGAAGGTCAGTGGCTTTATAAAATTGGTCCCAGACTTTACTCTCTGCCTATATATCAAACACAAGGTAGGTTTCATTGCCTGTCCCAAAATTGTTTTATAAACCTAACTCCTTATATATAACAATATATGCTCACATCTGGTACTAACACCCTCTTCTTCAGAGCTCGCATAATATCAGTTTGCAATTTTAAAAAATTTGGTTTACAGACCCTCTTGGTTGAGCCTTCCTTATAGATTTTGAATTATTTCATTTTAACCAGGATTTCTTGTTCTATTTAGTAGAAAGGACCAAGTGTCACCTTATACTACTGTTTTCTCCAAACTACAAGATCTCTTCTATTTTTTTCTTTTGTAAAATAATTCAATATTTGTCCTAACATTTTTCCAATGATATAATGCAAAAGCTGGAAAATTTTTCTGTAAAGATCCAGACATCAAGTATTATAGGCTGTACAGGCTATGTGGTCCCTGTTGCACTGTTGCACCACTCAACTCTGCAACTGTGGTACAAAAGCAGCCATAGACAATATACAAATAAATAGATGTGGATGTTTTTCAATATAATTGATTTATAAAAATAAGCGATATAGTTAATTTGGCCTGGAATCTGTAATAGTTTGCTGACCTCTGATATAATACATTTACAGATTCTAAGATGCATTATAAAAATGACTAATTATTCTTATCTTCCCCTTGAAATGTCCTCTAATTACCTTACCTACTTCCCCTTGAAATGTCTTCTAATTACCTTACCTACTTTAATACTGAAGTCTATGTCACTCATATTGTGTTATATCGTGCTCTGAATTTACATATATTGTATTTCTGAATGAAAAATACCAAATGATTTTATTATTGTTTTAATGCTCATGTGGTGTTTTGCATAGAATTGGGATTCATATTATTGATGAATAATAAGTGAAGTAGACTATATTAGCTACATACATATATTATGCTAATTATGCTCTAATCATACAGCTCTACAGCAATTTTACTAAAAGTTCCACACTCATTTATAGAATGCCCAGGACTGACTTGCGTATCTGTACATATTTTCGATTTAAAAAGAAGGCTCATGTCAATAAGCATGAATTTAGGAAACAGACTAAGTTGTGTGTGGACCTAATTTAGGTACACAAGGAAACAACTAAATTTAATCCTTGAAATCTTAAGACCCAAGAACGTCTAAAGCATCCACCTCACTGTTTTAGTATTAGTTGTTTTATTATTAGTATTGACATGAAAGCAGTATAGCACCTAACATATATGTTAAGACAGAACACTTCACTTTCAATTTAATATGTGGTGTTTATGAGATTGAATACTTCTGTGAAATACACATGAAGCCATTTATTTGCATCTATTCATTTTGGTGAGAGTAAGGTGGGGAGGCAGATGAAGTAGGGAGAATGGTGTCATCTTTTTCTTTTCTTTTTTTTTTTTTTTTTTTTTTTTGAGATAGAATCTCACACTGTTGCCCTGGCTGGAGTGCAATGGCATGATCCCGGTTCACTGCAACCTCCACCTCCCAGGTTCACACGATTTTCCTGCCATAGCCTCCCGAGTAGCTGGGATTACAGGTGTATACCACCACACCCCGCTAATTTTTTTGTATTTTTAGTAGAGACGGGGTTTCACTATGTTGGTCAGACTGGTCTCGAACTCCTGACCTCATGATTCACCCACCTCGGCCTCCCAAAGTGCTGGGATTACAGATGTGAGCCACCATGCCCAGCCCATCTTTTTCTTTTTTTTTTTTTTTTTTTTTTTTTGAGACGGAGTCTCGCTCTGTCGCCCAGGCTGGAGTGCAGTGGCGGGATCTCGGCTCACTGCAAGCTCCGCCTCCCGGGTTCACGCCATTCTCCTGCCTCAGCCTCCCAAGTAGCTGGGACTACAGGCGCCCGCCACTACGCCCGGCTAATTTTTTTTGTATTTTTAGTAGAGACGGGGTTTCACCGTTTTAGCCGGGATGGTCTCGATCTCCTGACCTCATGATCCGCCCGCCTCGGCCTCCCAAAGTGCTGGGATTACAGGCGTGAGCCACCGCGCCCGTCCCCATCTTTTTCTTAAGAATCAATCATATGAAGTGAGATGATTCATTTTCACCAATTTTTTTGGTCATTTATGATATATGATGATATTCTTAAATAAAATCTTTAGGCCTCAAAGCATTTCACAGTATCTGCCTCTGAATGTTATCACATAGTGTATTTCTGAATTGTAAGGAGTGAACATCTCCAATTCAGTATGGTTTTATGCACTGTGTGGATAGTAATTGGTTCCCAAAGTAATCTCTGGAAATATTTCTAATTTTTCTTACTGAAATAGTAATGAATTAGCTAGATATTAAGTATCTCTAAAGGGAGAATGGGGAACTCGCCTAGTAAATGTCCCTTATAATAAAGAAATAAGTGCTGAGTAAATAATTTAACATTTAACCTCATTGAAGACATCTTTCTCTTGATTACTGTGACTACTTGAGATAATTATATTTTCACATTGTGTTGTGTCTGTTTAACCTTTAGTGGTTTTCTTTAAAGGCCTTCCAAAGCCTATGCATATAGTCCTGTTAATACTGATTCTAATTTAAAAAGCAATGGAAATGTCGAAATGTCTACATGCAAAAACAACAGCAACAACAACTACTTATTTTATCCTATGAATTACACAGATTTAATAGCTACATAACATTGTCTAATAACCAATAGCTATATAATAACATTATCTAATAACCAATACTGCTTTTTTTTGTATTTTTGTGTTCACTCAAAATTATAAAACATATAGATAAAATGTTCACTCAATAATTATATCAAACATTCTTTGGGCACAAGATACTCTAGAAATGTGATAGTAGATGGCTATCTTTAGAAAAATAGCAAGAAAATAGAAAATAAGACAGAAGTAGATTTCTTTTTAGTTGTTTTTCTAATAACTTCTTAGAAATAAAAATATGTATAATTTGTTTAAAATTTACTATGTATATTTTATAACTTAAGACTTATGGTTATCTGAATAAGTTATTATTGTTATGCTTCAACAGATATGAATAGAACTAAAACATTAACAAAAAAGAAATATTTCTTCTCATTCTTTATATGTGTCCATCTTTATATAATGAAAATAATCAATGGAAATAAGTCTACTTAAGAGAGAATTTAAAACCTTCTTTACTAAAAAACTTCAACTGTCCATGTTTATTTTCCATTTATAAAATATATAGTGGGTTTGAGCAATAGTTTGTGCTAAAATGTGTAATCTACAAACCTGCAAATAATGTGTTTAATGGTTTATGTAAACATACTAACAGTGAGCTTACATATGAATAAATTATTTGTGCATTTTATTTGATGTCAAGCAAAAACATGGCAAAATAGAATCTCAAATATATTTGCAGGAGTCAAAAAATGTGGAGAAAAAAAGCAGTAAAGAAGACAACTACTGAAAAGAAAAAATCATTTTCTGACATTTATAATGCTCAGTAGACTAAGTCAAGTTAATGTTATTAGCCTCAGAAAATTGACTAAGCCAGCTAAGTTAAATAGTAGACATTAATGAAATAAATGCACAATAAAATAAAAATTTTATAGGAAAATGGTAGTTTTTAAATGAGGCAATTCTATTTAATGTATAACTATTGTACAAACCAGCCAGTTTAATGAGTTCCTTCTAAGAGAAATAAAATATGAGAAAATATTTGGTTAGAAAAAGTTGGTTATTTTATATAAAAAACTCAGAGAGTAGTTTAGCATTTGATCTCCCAAGACATGAAAATGAAAGACTATTCATAGCAAAACATATATATAATTAGTAGGAAACTATAAATTATGAAATATAGGAAAAAGACGCCAAAGCATAAATGGTGATTCTATGTAATTCAAAGAGTGAGTAAAGTTTAATGAAGGGTCCCTTGTCCTGCCTCATTTCTGTGCCAGAATGTTTAAACTTCTATATATCATAAAAATATAACACAATATTATAAAATTGAATATATGAAATAAATATCAGAATATTATTAAATTTTTGCCATTAGACTAGACCCACACTCATTTTGAAGATACAAACAGCCACATTTTCATTTAGTGTAAATGAATGGTTTCAGTTCGAGCATAAATTCCCGCTGTGAGAATAACTAAGGTCTTATATCCTGCTATTTTATTAAAGCCAAGTTAAACTTGGAATCAGTTTTACAAAAAGAAATTTTTCTTATTATTCCATCAAGCCGAAATGCTGCATTCTTATATGATGATGTGGCTTAGCATGCACAAGTTCTTCAATGAGGCAAATGAGGCTAATCTCTACCTTTTGCAGAGAAAAAAAATAAACCAAGTTTTGTTGTGTTTAGTGCATCTGAAGTAACCAGACTTTTCATGATCTTTGTTAATATTATTTTGAATTGGTTTCTGACCACTTGTTTTTATATTTATATATATTTATATAATTATATCTAAAACTAATATATATGTGTGTATTTTTATATATATATACATGTAGACATTTCTCAAGCTTGACACTCTATCCATTTAAAATTTTTTTTTCTTTATAATTTTTAGGGCTTCAATTGCTTTGTAATTTTTAACCTATTAAAAGACAAGATAATACAAAACTTGATAAGTCTTTTTAAAATATTCTATTTTAATACAAGGGTATGTGCCAGCAAAGCAGCAATTAATGGCATGGGATGAGGCAAGGCGCTTTTGTAGATATCAAGAGGACAGAACATCTGGGCAGGCACAGGACATAATAAATAAGAGGATATAAAACTCATCCTCCTTAGTTGCACATAAAAATGTCCAATCCTTCATGGAATGCTCCACACAGTGGAAAAGTACACAGCCTAATTCAGTTGAATGAGGCTTACTCTCAGAGTAAAAAAAGAACAAACCCCAGTGTATGCCTAAATGCATCTCTTATCTGTATGTAATTATTTTTGGATAGTATAAACACATGAAATTTACATTATTCCAGTAAAACAATTAGAATTTATTTCTTAATCTACATTTTAAATCAGAAATTGATTCTTGCCAGTTCTTTCTTCATAATAATTACCCTTTTATTTAATTTAACTAGCCACCAGCCTAATTCTGAATATTATTAACTTCTGATATTACTAAATGGCCTATAAATACTTTCTTATTCTAGCCCTTTCAATTTTTTTAAAAAATTATATATTCTGCCAAGAGATAAATCAGAATAAAATTAAGTATTGACTATGTCAACTTCTTTCTTTCAAAATTTTACTGGCTTTCCACCAAACTACAAAACAATTATTTTGACATACATTTCAGACACTCTGCAGTCTAATTATATATTCAACCTTATTACCCCTTTTTTATCTAGATGACTTATTGGTTCCAGCCATATTTAAAAGTAGTTGAGCTATTTGTTGGTTGATTAAGTTGTTGGTTGCATACCAATAGAATTAGAATAATTCCCTCAAAATGTCAATATTTTATCCTTTATTATAAAAGAGTTGGCTACATAATAAAATTCTTATTAATTAAAAGTCAATTCCAAAGGCATGTAAAACATAAGGAAAGTGCATTAAAAACAACTGGCTTCTATTCAGGTAAAGTATTTATTATAATTTTGACACAATTTAAGCAATATTGGAACTATCAGTTGTATACTTTGCAAATATCAAGTTAATTACATAGCATGCAATATAATGTAATATTAGATTTTCTGCTTATAATAATCCATATATAAAAAACATACAAAATAGCAATAAATCAAAGATAATTAATCCTCTAATACCTATCAAGTGGTTTAAGATATGTTCATTAAATTAATGTATTTTGGAAGAATGCATAAGAAAAAAAGTTATGAAAATCATAGCATATGCTAAAATTAACCAAAGTAAGTTGGGGGAAAAATCTCTAACAACAAAATGTAAACACTGGAATTGATAATCAGTTGCTTGAAATATTATTGAAATGCTAAGAAAATCTTTTGAGACTTAGAAATACAGAAAAATACATTTTTTCATAAAATTACAATGCAGTAGTAGGTCACTAAAATATGAGCCATTTATTATACAATTATTAGCATCAATTAACTTTTCAGTTATAATTATAGCATTACCTAAAATGACAAGATATAATACCTTTAACAACAAACTTCTTAAGAATCATTCACATGTCTTTAATTTGAGGAATTTCACATTGAATAAGAGGAACTCAGAGAATAACAGGGAAAACCTTATTATTTTCCCCTTTACTTGTTCAGAAATGTTCTTCTATGAAGCTAGATGTCTAATTCTCCAGTACCTGGATGAGATTCAAGACAGGTCTCACGACTTAACTCTTCAGTAAGATAATGACAACCCTCTAATGACTTAAAGTCATTAAAGTGTCATTAAATAGCCAATCTAATTAAACAGTCAAAATTCTGTACTTCCTTTGAAAACAAAACATAATTCTGTAGGTCAGAATTAACCCTGAAAGCCTTTCATGGAAATGAGGAATGGGGCTGGCTTCCTCAAATTTGTGCTTTGTACTTCTATGCCTTTCCCATGCCAAATGTCTTTACTGACCCCTCAGATCAAAGCCAGAAAAGGAAGGAGGATTTATAAAACAATATATGCCTACATTAGGGGTCCTGTAATTAATTTGAGCTTGACAGGTGTTTAAAACTATTCTCTTCTGGGACACCTTTCAGAGGCCATTGAGGATCCCCAACATTTGACTTCTTCAGACAGCTGCTTTCTCTTTTGGGATGTGAATATATATGCCCAAATTATTTTTGCTGAATTCCCCTTACCTCTCCAGGCAAATGTCATCTGAATTAACACCAGGGTGATTCTGTTATGCTGTGTAGTGAAATTATAGGACTTTTATGTTGCTGTAAATGAGTTTGCAGCTACAACCCACAGGCCACTTTACTCAGTTTCTTGACTGAAGTTTCTTAAGCATAATTTTTATAGTAGTCCATTGTGCTTCTCAAACTCCAGAAAACCCATATTAAGTTTTCTAAGGAGTCTCCATGACTAAAAAAATCCATTCCAGGCTTCTTCTATGTATCAGTGAAATTGACACTCATAACACATATTGGTAATTATTTCCAGTTCAATTTTCTTCTTAATTCCTTGCTTCTCTCTCAGATATTTTAACTTATTTTTAAAAAGTCTCGAACTGTTGGTGGTTTTATTTGTCTCTGATTTGACTCTTGGTTACTTCCTTTTCTTATCATGAGGAAGTGATCTAGAACCTTATTATCAAAAGTGAGAGTAGTTGTCACCTCACATTTTTGGACCTTAGCAAAAACTGACATAGGCCCAATTTAACAACTGTACATATATTTACTCATTCCCTTAGTTATAAATTGGTTTTGTTTTTATTCTTTTGCATTCGGTTGGATTACAAAAACTGGTCACATAATATGACCTTCATTTAAAGCCTCTCAAATTGGAGGTTTTTGTACATCTTAAAAAAAAAAAAACTAGTGAAAATTGGAAAGTATAAGAGCTTGTAAAAACTGCTGATGAAACAATTGATTTCCATTAAATAATTTTGATCCCTAAAAGGATATATATTGAACCTGTAATATTGTGTGGTATGCCAAAATTGTATAAACTCTAAAATGAGTAATGACTAGACACATATTCAATTATAATATAAAAGTTTACATAATTGGATGACCTTATATGAAAAAGATATAGATCACTGGACCAAGTACTTGACTTTGATGTCTAAACCAATAAAATGTTTTAACAGATTGATATACACACAAAGAAGGGAATCTGATACTGCTGCTTTATAAAATATCAGCTTATTTTACTCTTACCTATAAATAAAATTATTTTTCCTATGAATAACTGCCAAATTCATGAAGCATTTTTGATAATTCATCATCTTTTTCCCCATTTGATCTCTGAAGACCACTCATTAGCCTTAGAATATTTTGACACTGTCAGATATGTCATATTACCTTTGTTATTCTAATCACCAAATCATAGCAAATGCTTTTAATAATAAAAATTTATTCATTTTGCTCAAAGTATTTATAATTTTAAATCTAATTTTAAAAATAATAAATTTTAGTCAAGATTTATATATATTATATATATAGTATAGGTATAAATACAGATAATTGATGAAGTATTAATAATATGACAGTAGAAACAAGGAGTCTGTATTTTCTATGATTACTTGGCTATAATGTCAATATTTAGTAGAATTGAACAGGAGAATTCAGTATGAATGTCAAGAACAGAAGGTACAAGAAAAATGATAACACAGTACTTAATGGTATTTAAGGTAATGGTTTACATTATGAAAGAAATAGAATACCACTTCTATGATAGAAAAGCAAATATTTTTATGGTTCATAGAAATTTAAAAGCATCCTTTTTACAAAAATGCCATATTTGGGCATAGCTGTAAAGAACTGCTTTTACAGTTCAGAAAAAAAGTGACACAGATTACACAAGCATTGTACTTTTATCATACTATCCTTTCAGGTTGCAATTAATACCTTTTGTAATCACTTCATCAATGTTTTGTTTTCTGGTGTTAAGCATGTGTTTTCATCAAGTAAAAATAGCATATACACTATACTTTACTTGTTTAAAAGTAAACTCTTAAAAATCACTCCTTCCATTATGTTGTGCCTTGAATTTGGCAGAACATGTACTGCTTCATTTATATTTAGAAGTAAATATATCAAATGCAATTTTTCTCTTATCCCTTTTACATTTCCTTTAGAGGATAATATTTGGTGCAGGAATAGTTTTAAAATTTGAAAATGACTGCCCTGCCCACAAAACTAAGAGAAATTTGACTCCACTGAGTCACTGCCATATTGGATAGAAATGATAGCTAATTATTAAGAATAATTTTAATTAGAACTTTGGTCAAATTAGCTACTTTTATTGTATTATAGGTGCTGCTTCTGTCTTATAGAGTGAAAGAAAGCAGATGGTTTATTCATTATGCTAAGGGTGTAGAGCACTGAAGAGCTTGGGAGATAAGGGGAAATAACCATTAGTTTGACGCATGCACTGTATATTGTATATGATAGCTATACTGTCTAAAGAAGACTGCAGGTCCCATTGAACCACATCCACTACCACTGTATGAAACACGTTAGAGCAAAAGGAAAGCATCTTCCCTAAAATAATTCAAAACACAGATAATCTAGGATAGAAATAAAGGCTGCTAATTAGATAAAAGAGATTTTATTTTGTAGCTCAAGACAATCTGGGGCCGGGCGCAGTGGCTCACGCCTGTAATCCCAGTACTGTGGTAGGCCGAGGCGGGTGGGTCACCTGAGGTCAGGAATTTGAGACAAGCCTGGCCAACATGGAGAAACCCTGTCTCTACTAAAAATAGAAAAGTTAGCTGGGCGTGGTGGCCGGTGTCTGTAATCCCAGCTACTAGGGAGGCTGAGGCAGGAGAATTGCCTGAACCCAGGAGGCGGAGGTTGCAGTGATGGGAGATTGCGCCATTGCACTCCAGCCTGGTGACAGAGCGATACTCAGTCTCAAAAAAAAAAAAAAAAAAAAAGACGATTTGTTACATTTTGAGCAAATAGGTGTTCATGAGATTAAATGACTGAAAAAATTCTCTTACATTAAAACTAATGTAAGAAAAAAGGAAATAGAGATAAGTATCAACTTCGTACAAGGGACGCCCACCTCAACACAAAGGACCTATTGTAATTACGGATGGACACAGAGAAATTATTGAATAAATTTTTAAATTAAATCTCTAACATTTTAGCACATGCTTACGTGGCAATAGTTTGATAAAACACAGAAGATTCTTCAACAGTAATATAGTATGGGGGAGAAAGTGGAGGGTGAATGATCTACATGATCTTTTTCCATTCCAAGCTAGAATGACCCAAGCAACATATTAGTAAATGTATTATGTATACATATTTGTGCAAAAACTTCTTCAATGTCTATGTTATAGAAAAGCAAAATATTAAACTATCTTTTAGAATTTTTGTAATGTTAGTTGAAGTTATAATGCATTATGATCACCACTCAAAGTGAAAAATCTATTTGATCAGAAAAAAAGAAGTGCAAATGAGATAGGGTTCAGAATGTGAACTCAGATTCTTTTCATGTGAGAAAGTCTAAAGATTTTATTGACCGTTTTCCTGAAAGTGTGTTATCTCAACCATATCTGTAATAAAAATCTCTCCAAACAGCAATTCAACATGTCTTAGATATGAACACTCAGAAACTTTAAAAGTAAACTATGATTTAGGTTTCCAGCATATGATCAGTCTGAATATATAATCCTGACTATATTTTGATGCAATACTGTTTTAAACTTAAAAATAAAAAATACTGATACTATATAATTAATGCACATGTCAGACTTCATCTGATGTCTGTAATATGGGAATTTATGGCTCAATAGAACCTTTCCATGTTTAATTATGAGATTTAAAATTTTTTTTTTTGCAGGCAATTTTTAGTATAATCTATCCTCTAAAATCAAGTAAATCAAATTTAGAATGTAGTAATCTGTACTTTTATTGAATATATTATGTCACATACATTTTAGAAAAAGGCAATATGTCTATACATGCCCACATTCTTACATATGTATGATTATCTATAGCTAATCACATATATTTACATAAATGTACCTGTGTGTATCTACATATGTTGATATGTAAGCAGACATAGATATAGATATGTAATTCTTTGTACATTTATTCTAAAAATTTAAAAGATTACTCAATAAGTGTATTATATTTCAAAACTCCAGCTCTCCAAAATCCCATAATATATTTTTTAACATTATAAAAACAAAATATTTTAACTTGACAATATAGCAACTGTTTCTTAATACATGCAATAATTATTAAGATAGGTAAGAGAAAAGCTTCAGAAGATGAATAGAAATTGGGAAATGGAAGTTAATAATTGAAAAATAAATATTTTTAAAACACCAAAAATGTTGTATCTTGGAAATAAAAATATACAAGAATAAGAACATGTCATATTAGTAATAGCCCTGGCTATAGTTTACTATGAACAGTATAGAAGATGAAAATTTCACAGGGCATATTTATATGGCAGGATATGTACAAAGATATATAAGACCCAGCTGTTTTTAAAAGAAGGAAAAAAAAACAGTACAGAAGGCGTCAGTTTATGTACTGTATGTCTTGTAAGTCTTAAAATTTTTTTTTGCTGTGGATATGTTTTTGACTGTTGAGAAAGATCCATAGAGAAATGAAAACACAGAAAGAAAAAAGCTATTCCCTGGTATCAAAAAACTACACATTTCTCCCAATAAACTGTTACCAGAATAATTCAAGATAAAGGTTAGTCTAACACATAGGTTCCCGGAAGATTGGATTTGATCGTTTTTCTTGATTGTCACTTGGGATAATTTTGAAGGTATATAAAATCTGAAATAGGGAATCATATATGTCATTTCCCATTCATAAGGTAAAGTTCAAGATTAAATTTAAATGCTTCAAGTAAAATATAGAGAAGCTTAGTTTCAAATCTAACAAATAAACCATATCCAAGTTATAAAAGTATAATAGGTAAGGAAGAATTCAAAGACAGAGAATACAGGACTTCACTGGGGAGCAAAATCATAAAGAGGTATGAGATTTTAGAGAGCTCTATCTTATATCAAAAAGGCAGTCTCCAAGAGAAAGACCATTAGTAATTAAAGCATGTTGGAGTAGCAGCTTTAAAATATCCATTGCTGCTTAAATTGTGTCAGTTGAGCTCACGTGACTAAATCTGTGTATCATAGTTATATTTATAGTAATCCAGTCTATAGGTAAAAGGGACCAAAAATACTTTTATTAGAAGTGAAGAAAAATGCATAATTTATAGAAATAAGTCCTCAAATATTTTATAGTAGTAGACAGCAATTATTTCTTGATCTATGAGGTCCTGAAAAGTTAAAAAAGAAATAGGAAACTGTTTGCTGACAAAGGGAATTGAGATTCGCAAAGACCACTGGAATACTGAGCAGTTGGGTCAGGAGAATAGAAGCTCAGTGAATCCTATGGGAAAAGCTCTCTGGAGAACTACTGAGTTGCAAATTCACTTAAGGAAAACCTAAATGTGCATGTTAGATTTAAAAAAATTCCCTGAAATGTACATCCTTAAGAGTGGTAGTCAATGTGACTTGAATGGAAAGAGAAAAATAAAAAAGACAAGTCCCCGAATTCGAGTGCTCAATATGCAAAGCAAAAATTTTCAAAGCAGGAGTTAAGTGGGCTGCTAAAAGTGAGGTTTCTCGGTATTTTTTATTTCTTTTTTGGTTAGGTTTCTCCAAGTACTGATCACTTCATGCCGCATTTGTTTTCATTCTTCTCTACCCCTATCATTTTAATTTATCCTTTAACAATATAGGAAAAATCACTCCAGTGCAAAAGGAAAAAAATTTAGGAACCCGTTTTCTTCTCCCAAAGACTTAATAAGAGCAGAAAAAGGTAAAGGGAGCAACGGTGATGACTGAAACTTTAGAGAAAAAAGAAACGTAATGCACAAAATTCTTCATGTGGAAAAAGCAGGAGTCTTCTGTCCCAAAGATGAGGAAGTACTGGTTTTAGGAATCATCAGAAAGCCATTGAAAACACTGTATTATAGAAGTTTTAAATTAAAAGGGTCTGTCTCTTTGGGACACCTGCAAGCCTTCTGAAAAACAACTGGGGTAATTGGCTCCCTAGTGTGTGGTTCACATAAGCAGGGAAACAGTTACTGGCGATCAGGGTAGAACTGAATGAGGATGGATGTCCTAGAAACCTAGAAAACCTACACTTCTCCACATCTATAATAAGTCTAAGTGGCCTATGTGTTTTTAAACAGGTCTTTTTTTTTTTTTTTTTTTTTTTTTTTGTTAAGCAAGCCTCTTAATATGTTAACATTTTCTCACTTTAGGGGGAGAGAAATTTCTTCTATTAGGTTAGGCAAACCAGGAGTGCTAGAAAGGGGAAAAATGCCATATAAAATTGATGATGACCAGTAATATCTTTAAAATATATTTATGCAAGTTTCAAATTTTAAATAAAGGACACAAACTCAATCTGCAAAAGGTTTTGACTATGAGAAATTTCAGATGGAAACTTAGTAAATCAACAGAAAGTAAATAATTAGTATGAAATCTTAATTATGATATGAAGAATAGTTTAAGGCATGGGATTAATTGAGTAGCAGAGGAATGTGTTATAGGAATACAGGGGTATATTTTAATTATAAAGTATTAATATTTATAATCCAACCTAATGATACAAAGTCACAAATTAGAATAAAAATGAATGCATAATTTTTGTGGAAAATTTTGCCTTTGAGTCATAAAATTCATATTTATATTATATGTTTTGATTCCAAATATGAAAAAGAGATAGAACATTTATTTTGTGTTAGTATTGCTCTTCCAGAAACCACCAGCAAGTACTAAAAAAAATCATATACTTCTGTGTTATTGCGTCTCTCTATGTTCTCATACCAGTAACTGAAAATCATGAGTTTTTTGAGCTAGGTCAATTGCAACAGAAAGAATAATAATTGGCTCTATCAGCTTGAGGCATCATCTGATATGGTGTCTACTGAGAGGTACAGTTACCTAGATACTTACTAAAGATCACTGTTAAATATATTTTGACTAAGTAGAATGTTTATGTGGAAACTGTTTGGAATCTGATTAGTCTATAATCTGTGGAATAAAGTGGATAAAAGCTAAAATAGAGAATCTTTATTGTCAAAGCACCTAGCATTCAGGAAAGTTAGGTTTTTATTAACAATCAAACCCTCTTAAAGGATCTTATGTCTGAGGACAATTAGCCATTCATTAATTCTTATTCCTAACAAACATGCATCTAGGGTATTCTAAATGCAGGTGCTGTGCAAGTTTATGGCTATAAGAGGACAACATCCCCATCCTCAGGGAATTCAGTCCATGGATGGTGATAAGAGAAACACAAAGGAACTAAAATAGACTAAAAATATAATGTGTTAAATTAAATACACTAACAATTCCAATCTTAACAGTTTTCCTTTCACCTTTCATGTATAGATCTTTTGGTATTATATTTCAATTTTTAAATAATTAAAACATTAAAACCTGATGACTTTCCTACATAATGAAGCCATTTCCTTCCTTCTCCCAGCATAAATCACAATCACAGCACTCTCTTCTTAAAATGTACAGGACTTACCATATTTGAAATTATTGTACTTATTTTCCTTCTCACTTGATTTCCAAACTAGATTGTATAACCAAGAATGAAAATGGAAACTCTTATTTATTATGTTCATTGCTTTATTATTCTAGAAGACAACATATTCTAAATATTATAGGTTTAATAAGTTTAATTTTCCTTTCTGATTATTATGTTTTTTTCTACTGTCTGGAAGAAGTAGAATTTCAAAATATAGAGTCAATTATCCCAATTTCAAAATGCTATTAATAATTATTTACTGCTTCTGAATAAAATTAAAAATATGAGTTTTATATTCTTTTTAAAGATCCATTAGTAATCACTATGTTACTAAACTTTTTTAATTAAAAGAAATATGCCACCCATCAGAACAGTATCTGTTCAGACATACTTAACAATATTCATTTTTCAAACAATTACTTAAAGATGAATGTGTATAATTCAAAAATCTAACATTTTGGTTATTTATAATAAAATGTTTGATTTATTATAGTACCAAACTGTATTTAGTATAATTATGTTTGATTTTCTAAGTGGAAGAGATATATGTATTTGTACCACACAAGTAATAAGCAGTTCTTACTCAACTGAGTTATTTAAATTCTAAAGGCCAGAGGGATCTATTGTTTCTTATATATGTATATAATTTTTATTATATGCTACTAGAAGTTATGTGCATTTAAAATGAATTAATTAAACTCTAAAAGTCTAATTTAATCCTGAATAAAGTATGATATATGTTGCCAGGAAAAGGGGAATTAATCAAAATGCCTAATTTTAATTTATCAAAAATAATTTAACATGCATTGGAGATAATAAGAAAATGTTATAATCTTTGCATGCTGCCACTGAGAGATTCTTAAATATACCCTATTTTTATATAAATTAAAAGCTTTATGAATGAGGTGGGTTTTTTTTACCCATCTTATTAAATGAAGAAAAGATATAAAACACCTCAATCAACCTTCAAATTATTACCATAAAGAAAGTGAGCTGTGGTATTAATAGACATAATTATTCCTGTTATAATAATTTTATTTTTCTTTAAAGCATAGAACTTGTGTGCCTACTAGAAAAATCAAGAAAATTCTCCACTGAGACAAGTAATATATATTTACAATGCAAATTTTTACATTAAACGACTTAGATTTATGATAATGAGTCAATTACAAACTGTTTGAATATTAAAATCTTACTCAAAGCTAAGGATAAAATGTCCATTACCCTTTTACTCCCTCAATATTTATCATCTGTCACTAGAAGATAGAGAGAAAAACAGTATGTAAAAACTCATTCTAGAATTTTTATAGATTTAGAATTCTACCTGTTTCTCAAAAAAATGTGATATTTTAAGAAAATTGTTTTTCATTAAAGTCTATCTTGAATAACTTATGCTGACTTTATGTGCTTTGAATATTTTTTTTAATATTTTCAAGGCCACGAAAATAATTCTACAAGAAAATTTTATTTTTGTGCTTACGCTTTGTTTAAAAAATGTCAACTGTAGCTAAACAATTCACCTTTCTTTTTTTATTTTATTATTTTTTATATATATTTTTTATTATACTTAAAGTTTTAGGGTACATGTGCACAACGTGCAGGTTAGTTACATATGTATACATGTGCCACGTTGGTGTGCTGCACCCATTAACTCATCATTTAACCTTAAGTATTTCTCCTAATGCTATCCCTCCTCCCTCTCCCCACCCCACAACAGGCCCTGGTGTGTGATATTCCCCTTCCTGTGTCCATGTGTTCTCATTGTTCAGTTCCCACCTATGAGTGAGAACATGAGGTGTTTGGTTTTTTGTCCTTGCGACAGTTTGCTGAGAATGATGGTTTCCAGCTTTATCCATGTCCCTACAAAGGACATGAACTCATCATTTTTTATGGCTGCATAGTATTCCATGGTGTATATGTGCCACATTTTCTCAATCCAGTCTATCATTGTTGGACATTTGGGTTGGTTCCAAGTCTTTGCTATGGTGAAGAGTGCCGAAATAAACATACGTGTGCATGTGTCTTTATAACAGCATGATTTAGAGTCCTTTGGGTATATACCCAGTAATGGGATGGCTGGGTCAAATGGTATTTCTAGTTCTAGATCCCTGAGGAATTACCACACTGACTTCCACAATGGTTGAACTAGTTTACAGTCCCACCAACAGTGTAAAATTGTTCCTATTTCTCCACATCCTCTCCAGCACCTGTAGTTTCCTGACTTTCTAATGATCACCATTCTAACTGGTGTGAGATGGTATCTCATTGTGGTTTTGATTTGCATTTCTCTGATGGCCAGTAATGATGAGCATTTTTTTCATGTGTCTTTTGGCTGCATAAATGTCTTCTTTTGAGAAGTGTCTGTTCATATCCTTTGCCCACTTGTTGATGAGGTTGTTTGATTTTTTTCTTGTAAATTTGTTTGAGTTCTTTGTAGATTCTGGATATTAGCCCTTTGTCAGATGAGTAAATTGCAAAAATTTTCTCCCATTCTGTAGGTTGCCTGTTCACTCATGGTAGTTTCTTTTGCTGTGCAGAAGCTCTTTAGTTTAATTAGATCCCATTTGTCAGTTTTGGCTTTTGTTGCCATTGCTTTTGGTGTTTTAGACTTGAAGTCCTTGCCCATGCCTATGTCCTGAATGGTATTGCCTAGGTTTTCTTCTAGGGTTTTTATGGGTTCAGGTCTAACATTTAAGTCTTTAATCCATCTTGAATTAATTTTTGTATAAGGTGTAAGGAAGGGATCCAGTTTCAGTTTTGTACATATGGCTAGCCAGTTTTCCCAGCACCATTTATTAAATAGGGAATCCTTTCCCCATTTCTTGTTTTTGTCAGGTTTGTCAAAGATCAGATAGTTGTAGATATGTGGCATTATTTCTGAGGGCTCTGTTCTGTTCCATTGGTCTATATCTCTGTTTTGGTACCAGTAACATGCTGTTTTGGTTACTGTAGCCTTGTAGTATAGTTTAAAGTCAGGTAGCGTGATGCCTCCAGCTTTGTTCTTTTGCCTTAGGATTGACTTGACAATGTGGGCTCTTTTTTGGTTCCATATGAAAGTAGTTTTTTCCAATTCTGTGAAGAAAGTTATTGGTAGCTTGATGGGGATGGCATTGATTCTATAAATTACCTCGGGCAGTATGGCCATTTTCACAATATTGATTCTTCCTACCCATGAGCATGGAATGTTCTTCCATTTGTTTGTATCCTCTTTTATTTCATTGAGCAGTGGTTTGTAGTTCTCCTTGAAGAGGTCCTTCACATCCCTTGTAAGTTGGATTCCTAGGTATTTTATTCTCTTTGAAGCAATTGTGAATGAGAGTTCACTCATGATTTGGCTCTCTGTTTGTTTGTTATTGGTGTATAAGAATGCTTGTGATGTTTGCACATTGATTTTGTATCCTGAGATTTTGCTGAAGTTGTCTATCAGCTTAAGGAGATTTTGGGCTGAGACGATGGGGTTTTCTAGATATACAATCAGGGATGCCCTCCCTCACCACTCCTATTCAACATAGTGTTGAAAGTTCTGGCCAGGGCAATCAGGCAGGAGAAGGAAATAGAGGGTATTCAATTAGGAAAAGAGGAAGTCAAATTGTCCCTGTTTGCAGACGACATGATTTTATATCTAGAAAACCCCAATTTATCTTTCAAATTAATTTTCAAAAAACAGAAATTTAAAGATTAATTTAAATATGATATTGCATCATATTTTTTGAATTAATAGAATATATTAATTGTAAAAAAGCTAGGATATATGCATAATCAAAGTGAAAAAAATCTGTAATTTCATGACCATGATAAAATACTGGCAACATTTTCGTAAAAAATATTTTTCTATATCATTCTATGTTTAAGTAAATAAATGTTTTTTCTATATAGTAATTTGATTTTGATGCTTAGGTAATTTTGCAGCCTGCTATTCTTAATTTTAGCTTATTTAATTATCCATTCTTTTTTTCATTTTGTAAGGTTCAGTTAGGTTACAAGGGCTAGGCATAGCATTTACTGAGTGCTAAACGTATGCCAGTCACTCTTTATCCAGCTGCAGATACAGCAGTGAATAAGAGAAACAGTTTCTGCCCTTGCCAAGTTTATTTTATCATAAGGAAGATTGGCAATAAACACATAAAGAGATAATGAAAAAATCAAATAGTAAAAGGAGTTATACAGCACACAATATGAAATAAAGAATGTAATTTTCTATAGGATGGTGAGGAAAGACATTTCTGAAAGGGTGACTTTTAAGTAGAAACATAAATAAAATGTAGAAGCTATGGGGATATCGGAGTTATCTAACTATCCTAGGCAAAAGTATTCTAAATGAAGATAAGAGAAAATTCAAAGTTTCTGATGTTAGAATATGCTTGCCATATTCTACGTAAAGTAAGAAGACTGGTGTGGTAGGAACATTGTTTAGTTAGTTTGGAGAGGTGTCCAGAAACAAAACATGCTGATCTTTGTAACCTTAGGTAAATCTTTGAATCATACTGTAAATTTGATGGAAATCTAGAGATAAGGTTTTGATATACCTTGAACGAAGCAAACCGTGTGTGACTATCCTATCACATCATCCTCTCTACCTGAAGAAATCTACCCTGAATCTTCATCTCCTTGTTTTTTCTCAAAAGCAATGTCATCCAATAGAAACATAGTGAAAGTCAAATACATAATTTTGGGGGTAGCCAGAAAGAGCAAAAATTATTTTAAAATATATTTTATTAGTCCAATATGTGCAAAATATTATCACTTCAATATTTTAAAATATTAATGAAATATTCTATATTTTTTCAATTAGAGATTTTTTAAATTTAATTATCAAGCAATTAGCAAATCATGCCCTAACAATTTTTAAAACCGCACATTGCATATTAATTAAGCAATCCAAAGGGTCAGTCCTATTTTGTTTTACCTATATGATCTCTGTAATTATATAGTTCTGTCACTTAAAATACTGTTTGATTTTAGTTTTTAAATCTTAAAAATCTTTCATAGTAAATATATTATCTACGAAATTTCTGAGAATGTTGTTTTTCAGAATGTGGTAATACATATATATAACTATAATTGTGATTCTAAAGCTGGTTTTCTACAGCATTATATATGTACATGTAAAAAATTATATGATTTTGTGATAATATAGTTCTCAAAATATTTATTTTAAAAGTGCATCTTAAGAGTAAATAAAAACATTTAATGTTTGTATTTTTGTACTTGTCATTTTAACTCTTTTTACACTACATACTCACCTCACTGGTACTTTAGCAGATAGTGAGCCATTGATATTGAATGTATAGTTTATAGTTATAGCACATCTCAATTCAGACTTGTCACATTTCATGTGCTCAAGAGTTTCATGTGGCTAGTGGCTATGATATTGGAGAGCTTGCCTTTATAGTCTTATTCAATATCGATGTATTTCTAAAAACAATACATTTTTTACATGTATGTTTTTGAGCTTTAGAAAAGTGGCAATATATTTGATGCCTTTTGAAAATTTAAAAGTTGTAGTTTCTTTATGAAGCAGTGTAGTGTTGACATCTTGCTGGAGTGAGAATATTTTATTTAAATGATAAAAATCAACAAATGACAACTTGAGTGGCATTTGGTGAAATTTCATTGAAGTTTCACATGTAGTATGCAGATGTTCTTTGGATTCTATGCCTCTTAACGTTCACACATGTTATATATTCTTTCTTACAGATATCAGCTATCTCCTAGTAAAAACATGAAAGATAATAAAGAGAAGCAAGAACCACAGAAGAAATTCTTTGTAGTAGTGTTAATGGCAGAGACAATAGTCCCCATATACTTCTTTCTAGGGCAGCTAGGACAGCAGTGTCATAGTCAACTTCGTTGTCCATCACAGGTGAATTTGGGGGTACCATTGGTGGTATTTCAGGTTCTGCAATGGCAGCATCAGTACCTTCAGAGGACAGGTTCCAAGGGCAGAGTGAGACTGATCCAGCTGTGTATCAGTGAAACCTGGTCACGGTGCCATCCCAGTGGCTTTTTAAGTTATTAAATGTCCTCCTAACATTTTTCCCTACATATTTTAAAACAAGACTTTAAAAAATTCTTTACATTGGCTAACTAAAGAAGATAATACAATTAACAAAACAGAACTATTGAAAACTATAAGGGAAATATAATGTTGAATATAATCAAAGCATTATAAGCTAAAATTAATGGAAGCGTGATGGAACAAAATCAAGATAAGATAAAATGCAAAACTTAAAAGCTCAAAAATTATTGCATTAAATAAAGTAAAATAGTAAGTGGCACTTACCAATGAAGAGATATCCCTCTTTTCTGGTTTTGAGTTCTAACAAATAGTTTAAAATATTGAAACCTAATATAATAAATATTTTTCAAAAAAATAGAAGGGAGAAGAGTATTTAATTCTATAAGGCAAATAGAGACTTCTAGCAAAACCGGATGAAGTATAAGAAATAGGAAGGAGGTATTATTGTTAGATTTTATTTATTTTTAAAAATGTACACAAATGCAAATCTTCTGAATTATTTACCTAACTACTTTCAATGATAAATTTAAAAACAGTATGTCAGAATCAAGCAATTCATATTCTACTAGGTAATTGTAGTTCAAAAATCATTAATAAAATTAATACAGCATAATTCATTACAATGCTGGACAAAAATATATATATACACACAATCTTATACAATTGTGTATATAGATACAAATCTATCATTATTAATTTATTTTATACACACAAACACATATATATATTGTTAGCAAATCACTGTATTCTCTTTTTCTTTTTCCTTCAATCACTCTCCCTATGTCATCACCTTGATCTCTGTGGTCACCTCGCTACTTAACCATTTGTATCTAAGACTTTCTGACAGGTTCTGCTTTCAAGGGATACCAAACTTAAAGAGTTGTTATTAGGAGAGGTTGAAGTAAGTAGACTCATGTAATTGAGATGAGGAGGAGAAGATCTCTCAATGGCTGCATGGCAAGAAGGATACAATGCTGATGGCAAGTAGATTGGTGGTAATCTCTGTCATATTATTGCATTTCAATAACTAAGAATTTCACCTTTAGTGAACTTGAACTAAGTACAAATGAAAAGGAGGGACTGGAGTTATATAGGAATTGCAGCACATATTTCTTGAGATGTGGAGCATCCCCAAATTGGAAACATCAGCCATGCTGAGAAATTTGTTCATATGCCATTTCTTAGATGCATTTTAGACCTACTAAATGAGAAACTGAGGTTCAGGGCCCAGAAATCTGTATTTTAATTAGTTTTTTAGGAGACACTGATGCTCACTAATTTTTGAGTATCAATGCTCTAGTACTTAAATGATTTGGGAATGATAATGATCATAAAAATTGTCTAGTCAATGGCACTCATTAAATGCCTTTTAAGTCTTAAAGAAACAGAATTATAGGCTCAGGGTAGCTATCTCTCACTCTGGATATGTTAGGAAAGCCAGTGTTATCTATGACTGGATTTATATGTCAAAGTCAATGCCCTGATTAGAAAAGAGTGTGTCCAGGGACCCAGATGAGGACATTTCGATGGATGCACATGAAAACCTTTAACACCAGATTGCCCTAACACCCCTGGGCCAGCATATGTCACCCTTTTTATTAGAAAGAGAAATCTTTGTCTAGAGACCATGCAAAAAACAAAACAACAACAAAACCTCGTTTTATGAGGATACCTTGTAATGATTATCCTCCTCAGTATACTCCTTACCTCTCCTAATTGTTTTCACAGCATTAACAAAAGTGAGGTGACAGAATAGTCTAAGTTGGGTCAGATAGTCTTTTCTCTGGGAAGAAGTAATTTACTCATTATATTAATTGCAGTAATTAAATGTACAGATGAATAGTACATGTAAAAATGGATCTTGAGGGTATTGAACCCTCAAAGAGTAGAATACAAGACTTTATAGAGAAGAGGTTATTGAAATGTAAGCATGACATGGGAGTCACAATATTCTTGGAAGATGGTTCTTTGAAACCATGACATGTTAATATGCTAAAGAAATGAAATAAAACTCCCAAAACTGCCCTGCCGAGTATGACGAAGACTTTATAATGCACAGGTGTATGGTATGGTTAAAATGAATTTATTGGAGAAACTCAGAGAATCTACAAACCAAGGATGTTTTCCAGGTTAGCTAAGAGGGCATTAACTTTATTATTATAAAAAGGAATGTACTTGTAAGGTTGCACTACCATATATGATTAGCTAAATGGTTAATTTTCTCAGAAGGGCAACTTTAACATTAATAGCCATGTAACTGGGCTTTTCCATGTTAATGGGAAGGAGATGATTCTTGAATAACAAAGGTCAGATATTGACATGTAACCCTCAAATGCAAGGCAAAAATAATTAGTTAAATGTACAATAAATACTAAGTTGCAGCCAAAGTCTCTATATTTACAGGGATCTATATTTACAGGAACCTATAGTAGTAGCTAATAAACCACAGTGTTCCCAAGAGTGAGATAAGTAGCAAGTGACCTAGTTGCTACTAAACTCTTATAACAAGAAAACCAAATGAAGTAAAAATCTGTTGAGTAGAAGGCTCATATCAGGTGTCAAATGGCAAATCGTGATTTAACACCCTGTTTACATATCTGAGCACTTCTTAAATCCAGAGTCTATAGACATGAAGGCTGGATTTCCCTAAAATGACCCTGAAACAGCACTGCAAATATGGGAGTAAATATTTCCTCAATTCTTCCTAAGGGTTTGTGGTCATTTACATGGTAGTGGAGAGAGAAAACAACTAAACCTTTTCAGCGTTGTCCAACAGAAGCTCTGAGATGAAACTGATACCTGAAAAAAGGAATGGGCTTCTTTGTAGGCAGGAGGCATATGGAAACCAGGTGATAAATAGAGTCTTGGGTTACCTCTGTCTTTTAGTAAATAAAACACCCACAAGCTCATACTTTTTTCAATATATAATTAGAATAGGTACATCTAGTAATTTATAACTCTCACTTTGGTCCACTGACCTTTAATTTAAGAGACATTAATGAACAGAAGGGTGAAGCTGAGAGCCTTTAAAACTGAAAACCTCTATCCTCTTTACCTCTAAAGATGAGGATAAAAGAGTAGTGGTGCTCATTGTTTCCTCATTTATTTCAGATCTCTACTCCCATTCAAAGTGGTAAATTACTCCAGAAAACTTAACCAAATCGTTGTCCCAATTATAGGTTGACTAAGCAGTAGTTCCCATGACAACTTGTATGGTGTCTGCACTGGGGGGAAAAATACAGTCTCTGAAATTTTTTATGAGGTTATTGATCTAGAAAATGCATTAGTTGCAATCCCTGTCATTGGAGAAAATAAAATTCAGTCCCTATGCACATACGAACAGCAGTTCACATTAAATATTTTACACCAGAGTTATGTTAACTGTCTTGCTCTGTTGCAATACATCTTGAAAGGACCTTGATCATCTTGACATTCCATGTAATTCACAGTCATCCACTGTAATGCTCCACAATATCATTCTAATTATACCTAAAGAACAGGAATTAACAAGTACACTAGATGCCCTAACAAGAAATACGCATGCCAGGAAATAAAAGATAGACCCCACAAAGGTTCAGCCTGCCCATGCTGAAATGTGTAAGACTTCAGTAATTAGAGATATTAATTAGAAGTGCTAAGAATTTCTCTTCAAGGCAAAGGGCAACATTACTGAATGTTGCCTTTTCTATCACTGAGAATGAGGCAGAATTATGGTACTCCTCTTTAGTATTTGGAGACAACATGTACTATATCAGAAAGCTACCATAATTAATTTTAAATGTCAATTTGACTGGACCACAGGGTGCCCTGATATTTGGTTAAACATTATTTCTGTGTATATATTTATATTCAGGGCTATCAAGTAGTTATTATAATGTACTTCATTTTACAGATGAAGAAATGGGACTTTGTAATTTCAAACTAAGCTCCAGAGTTGTGCTCATAAATCATTACACTGTGCTACTTCTGTTTGTATACTTCATATTATATTTTGGTGTACAAGCAATATATATTTCTTACACATGCATATGTGCATGGGAACAATTCCATAAGAATATACACTAACTTGTTAGGAAAAACTATCTCTGACAAATGGGATCCAGGTTGTGCTGGTATTATTTCAATAATCATTCCTGGGAAGAAATTTTATTATTTAGAATAAAATATTCATTATATTACATTTAATTATAATAAAATCACTCAAAAAAAAAAGCTACAGTAAACATTATAACACCAGCCTGGGAACCATAGCGAGACCCCAGTCTCTAAAAAAATTCAAAAAATCAGCCATGCATGGTGGCATGTGCCTGTAGTTCCAGACACTCAGGAAGTTGAGGTAGGAGGATCACTTGAGCCCAGGAGTTTGAGACTGTAGTGAGCTATGATTGCACCACTGCGCTTCAGCCTGCAATCTCTTATACATAAATGCATACATACACACACACACACGCACACATAAAATAATTTTTCAAATCAGCAAATGTAAAAGTGTAATCAACAATTCAAGAGAAAACAATTATGTAAGAAAGGTTACCTAAGAAACACAGAACATTAAGTAAATTAGTTATAAATAATATTTAACTACTTATAATGGCATACATAGTGAAAAGTAATATTATAAAAATATATCTATAACAATATTGGATCCATAGGTGAGAAGAATATGTTTATGTGTATGTGTGTAGAGAGACAGAAACTTGTAAGAGGTTTAAATATTCATGTTTCATCATTGGTAGTGAGGAGAAAATCTTACATGGAAATATCAAAAAATAGAAAAATAACCTCATTAAATTCTGAAAAATGTCTATAGTTTCAAAATCCAAAAGCTTGTTGGGAGCTACAATCTGTATTATTAAGGTTATTAAGGATGTATTATAGTACTAGCAGTTGTTCTATTTGTCTATGGAATGTACATAAGACATGGATTTCTTCTCATGAGAACATGTATGGCTACACCTACTACTGAGTGGTTCATTTTCAATATTTGATATCAAACGTGAGCCCAGATATGGCATCATTTCTTAGGTGGATCAGCCAGATATTAGGTAACAAGTTGATTACATTGGGTCAATTCCGTCATGGAAAGGGGTAGCATTTTTCTTCATACTAATAGGCACTTATTTTGAATATTGAAATATCTTTCCTATTCATAAATCTTCCAACAAAACCATCATATTTAATGTCTTATTCTTCATCATGGTGTGGAAAATTTTCCATAGCATTACTTCCTGCTAAAGAACTCATTTTATAGAAAGCATGGAAATGGCCTCATACTTATGAATGTTTCTTGTTTTACCATATTTCCTTCACACTGAAACAGCTGCCCTGATGAAACAACTGAAGGGCCTTTTAGAGATGCCCTTAAGCCATCAGCTAGAAACACCTTGTGTGGCTGCAGTATAGCCTCATAACAGGGTATATATAGATATTCTCTAAATCATAGACCTATATACAGTCATGTGTTTTCTTTGTTTTTTTTTTGTTTGTTTGTTTGTTTTCTTTTTGAGACGGAGTCTTGCTCTGTTGCCCAGGCTGGAATGCAATGACTCGGTCTTGGCTCACTGCAACCTCCGCCTCCTGGGTTCATGCCATTCTCCTGCCTCAGCCTCCTGAGTAGCTGGAACTACAGGCACACCCCACCACGCCTGGCTAATTTTTGCATTTTTAGTAGAGATGGGGTTTCACCATGTTGGTCAGGCTGGTCTCGAACTCCTGACCTCAAGTGATTCACCCACCTCGGCCTCCCAAAGTGCTGGGATTACAGGCGTGAGCCACGGTGCCCAGCCCAGTCATGTGTTTTCTATATTTAGAATTCCTAAGTCTGGAATTAAGGGGTGGAGTTATAGGTACATCAGCTAATTCTTTCTGCTATTATTACTCAAGATAATTTATTAGTGGAATATTTGTTTTCAGTCACCCCAGTTTTGGGCCTGGTTGGTCTAGAGACCTTGGTTCTCAATGTGTCACCAGGAGACATAGCATCTGTTCTATTAAAATGACAGTTCGGACTATTGTCTGTCTACATCAGCTCCTCATGTCAGTGAACTAACAAACAATAGGGTTACTTACTGATTAGGGCTATTTATCTTAATAATCAAGGTAAAATTGGGTTGCTGTTACATAATGAAGATGAGGAATAGGATATCTGTAATGCATGGACTCTCCCAGGCAACCTTTCAGTTTAGCCATGTACTTTGATAAAATTCAATGTAAAACTAAAAAAATCCAATGTGGGTAGGAGAGTTTAGGACCTGATCATTTTTTTTTTTTAAAAAAGGAGCAAATTACAAGACAGTAAATTACCACTTTTCTAAATTTTTGCTGAGAAAATAAAGGGACTATGGAAGAGGTTGTGGAAGTTATAAATACTAGCTATGCCCGTGTAACCCATGGCCAAAACAAAGACTTTAATAAAGTATTTCTTTCTTATCTTGGTATAAATATGTGTTTATATGTCAACAAATTATTTTCTCCTTCACCATTCCTATGTAATCTAATACAATGTAATAGTGGTCTAACTTACATTTCAGTATTTAAGTTGCAGAATGTCAAAGGATGTTTATGACCCAGTTAGAAGAATAATGGCCATCACTCAAAGATAAATGGATAGGTTGATGGATAAGATAGAGGTAATATATGACATATATTTTAGAGAACTGGTTATATTTTAAGTTGTATGAAAGATAGTTGCATTATGTTAAGTGAAAGCATGCTTTTGCTTCTGATTTTTTAAAAAAAGTTAAATACATTTAAAAGAAGTATACATGGATACTAAGTTGACAGAGGATACATTTTGGTGATTCTGTAGTGTCAACGTAGGAATGTGGAAAGAAGTTTCTTAGAGTTTCCTTTCTGCCAGATTACAGGCTGAATTTCCCTTCTGCATGATTACAGGTTAGGTTGCATATGTAAAATAGAGGTAATATATGATATACATTTTAGAAAGAGAGTTATATTTTAAGTTGCATGAAAGATAGTTACATCATGTTAAGTGAAAGCATAGTTTTGCTTCTGACTTATTAAAAAAGTTGAACACATTTAGAAGAATATACATGGACTAAGTTGACAAAGGATAAATTTTGGTGATTTTGTAGTGTCAACTTAGCAATGTGGAAAGAAGTTTCTCAGAATTTCCATTCTGCAAAATTACAGGCTGAATTTCCTTTCTGCGTGATTACAGGCTAGGTTGGGGGCAAGTGGTATGTCAGTGCTATTTTGAAAGGTGGAACTGAAGCAGCAGTCATTTTACTCTCAGAGTTGGTGTAGAGCATCAGGTGCAATTGCAGATGACTCAGGGCACTGATATGCTGGCATATCTTGTTGGTTTGGGGCAGCAGCCAGACCTACAGCTCTTCCAGCTCCCTTAGATTTTCTCATTAAGCTTCTTCAAGTTCTGATTCAGGTAAATGTGTAGCTCTATGGTGAAAGGTGCCAGTTTCTTCTGGAGGTAATGTGCATTAATTAGGTTGGAGTTGTTGAATGTTAAATGTAGATTTTATTTTGTCCTGTATGTTTCAGTTTGTTCTTTTGGGATCCAATTCGTCCTCAGAGGTTTCAGTTTGTAGACACTCTCTTTTGATTCATGCCTGTCTTTGCTTCCCAACTGCTGCTCCTGGGGACCTAGCATTTTTACTCACCACCAGAGTCAGAAAATAATTATCTATACATTGCTTATCCAACTCCACAATTGAGTCAGATCTAAATCTAAAGAATCTGCCAGGGTGTTACCACCCAGATCCAAACCATCATTTCTTACTTGAATTGTTGTAGTCTCCTAATTTTTGTCCCTGCTTCTATTGTTTGCTCTTTTAATGTTTATTAATAAAATAATGTATGTGATGTAGTTAAAATGAAAATCAGATTATATCACTTCTCTATTAAAAGTATTGCAATAGAATCTCATTTTACAAATGTATGTTTCCTTTAACAATCGTTAAGTTTCTTTGAGACAAAATTTAAAAAAAATTTTGTCTTATTATTTTCCCCATAACGTATTCACTCTGTTCACTTTGGGCACATTAATTTTCTTACAGTTTATCATGCATGCTCCCAACTGTACCATACCATCTTTGCTCAAACATTATCTTTTCAGTGAGTACTACTCAGACCACTTAATATCACAACCTGTCTTTATCTTGTTCAATGATCAATACATAAAATCACTTTTCTCCAGATTTTGTATTAACCTTTAATATTGTTACAGCTTGAGTATCTCTTATTCAAAGTGCTTGGAACCAGAGGATTTTGGCCTATTTGCATAACATAATGAGATATCTTCAGGTTGGAACCCAAGTCTAAACATAAAATTTATGTTTTATATAAACCTTATACACATAGGCTGAAAGTAATTTTATGCAATATTTTAAATAAATTTGTTCATGAAACAAAGTTTTAACTGTATATTGACTATAACTTGCCACTTCAGATTTGGTATGGAACCTTCCACCTTGCCAATGTCATGCTGGCATTCTAAAAGTTCTGAATGTTGGAGCACTTTAGATTTCAGATTTTTAGATTCGAAATCCTCAATCTGTATAATGTTACAAATGTCAGTAATCTCATAAATATCTGATATTTTCTTCATTTATATCTTTATCATATGTCATCTATGTAAAGAAACATCTTTTAGTGGGGAATATAATTAATTAAACTGAGAAAAAGTCTCAGTGAATTGTTACATTATTTATTTTGGTCTCTGTATTAGTTACCTAGGGCTTCCATAACAAAGAATCATAAACTGGGTATCTTAGAGTAAAATTTTTTTTGTCTAACAGCTGTGGATGCTAGACGTCCAAAATCGTGGTTTTAGAAAAATGATGTTCCCTCTGAAAACTGAAGGGCAACCATTTTTTGACTCTTCCTAGCTTCTGTTGGTTTTCTAGCAATATTTACTGTTTCTTGGGTTATAGAGGCATCCCTCCAATCCTTGGCATGACATTCTCCCTGTGTTCTCTCACATTGTCTTTTTCTGCGGATGTCTATGTCCAAATTTCCCCCTTTTATAAAGACACAAGTTATATTGGACTAAGGCACATCTTAATTACCTTCTTTTAACTTGAATGCCTCAATAAAGAACTATTTCCAAATAATGTCACAATCTTAAATACTGAGGAGTTACATATTTAACATATTATCTTGGGGTACAAAATGCAACCCATAATAGTGTCCATGTTAATTGATCATGTTTAACTCCAAAAGTACATACAAAATGTGTTTTAAAAAGAGAGAGTGAGAAAGAAAAAACCTATTCTACTTTAGTAGATATAATACCTACTGGAATGCATCAACCAGATCCCTCTTCAAGCCTTATTGCTTCAGCTACTGAGTGTTACCTGCAGATAGCTAGCACTTTGCTCTCAGCCTTCTTGCAGAATTGCTTTAGGTAAAGGGAGTTGTCTCATCTAAGATCACACTCCCTTACAAGAACAGCTCAAAACTAGTGACTAACTTTGATACAAGGGTTTAAATGCCCAATCCTTTTGTTAAAACTCAGAATAATTCAAATTTACAGAACTTCCTATGGGGCTATGTGAGACCTTCATTGAAAGTGCATTTTAGCCCAAGTTCTCTATTGGCCTAATATAGCTTTATAACCTCCCCTTCAGTAAGTAAAGATCCTGAGAGCATTTCTTATATTTTCTACATGCTGCTAATCTCCATCTCAGGTGCTACTTCAAAGGGATTTTTAGAATCTACTTCCTGAGGAATTCAACATATGGCATCTATTATCAGTATTGGTGTGAGAAAGCAGACACTAACATAAGTTTTTGGATAAACTGCTATTTAGCTGGAAATGATCACTAGTACAAGGCACTAGTACAATCACTAGTACAAGGAAAAGCAAAGGAAGCTCCTGGCAATAGGTAATGGTGCCATTTTAACATTTTCTGTGGTGGTACACTGGAGTGATATGCCAGTAGAAGGAAATTAACTAGTAGGTACAAAATATAAAATCTTGTGGTTTTTTTTTTGTTTTTTTGTTTGTTTGTTTGTTTTTTAGAATAAGAGAGAATTAGTAACTATGAGGAATTTGGAATTGAGTTGATGTTCCTAATCATAATTTATGCTTTAAAACATAAAAGAATGAGAGTGATTAACAAACAACTCCTTACATAAAAGTCAGAGGCCTTCTTGTTTAGTATAGAAAAAGACTCAAATTCTGTAGCCAGAAGGAAGAAAAAGCTGAGGACTTGTAAGTTATTAGAGTAGCAGAGTTTCAAAGAAAGTTACTCTATCAAATTATGTAGATCAGCTATCTCAAGATCAGGTCCCTAGCTGGGCCAGAATGGGTTTGTGACACACGGGATGCAAATAATTGGGCTGATGTGCCCCATAACCATGCATTTCCAGATTTTCCTCAACTCTCTGAGCCTGCAGTAGGGTCTCATGTCTCCCCATTAGGAGCTGGTACCTCTCAATTTCTGTCAACCCTTAGTTATCAGAAGCCAAGTAAACAAAATCATTATAATTTGGGACAAGGTTGAAGTGAAGGACAGGCCCAAAGAGCAGATGAAAATGTTTAATGGATCACGTCTTCCCTAAGGGCAAATTAGATGGACAGTCATTCAA
The DNA here is from genome assembly GCF_000001405.40 of Homo sapiens. Classification (NCBI taxonomy): domain Eukaryota; kingdom Metazoa; phylum Chordata; class Mammalia; order Primates; family Hominidae; genus Homo; species Homo sapiens. Next base: position 132,221,889 of record NC_000004.12, read on the forward strand.
GGTAATATTCCATTTATATAATCAAATATAGACAATCAGAAGATTGAAGGCACTAGCTTTAAAAAATGTCATAATTCCTTGCTATTTTCCAAGTTTGTTAGAATTCATATTTAGAACACACTGAATAAAGGAGAGTCTAGGTCTCCAGGAGGAAAAACTGCAATACCATGTCTTCTGTACATGGTAATGATTATTCTTCAAAGATACCTAAAGTATGTATTCAATTAAATGTATGAGAGAGGAAAGGGTCATGTATATTGAGGACTATTAGACACAAATTTCAAGTTGACACTGATATGCAGGACACCAGGATCTCACAGTGAGTCCCTGTTGTAGTGGGATATATGGGATGTACAGATATATGAGCTGATATGGTTTGGCTCTGTGACCTCACCCAAATCTCATGTTGAACTATAATCCTCAGTGTTGGGAGAGGGACCTGGTTGGAGGTGATTGGATCATGGAGGTGGATTTCCCTCTCCCCTTGCTGTTCTCATGATGGTGAGTGAGTTCTCACAATATCTGATGGTTTAAAAGTGTGGGGCAATTCCCCATTCATTCTCTCTCTCTCTCTCTCTCTTGCCACCATATGAAGAAGGCACTTGCTTCCCCTTGACCTTCTGCCATGATTGTAAGTTGCCTGAGGCGTCCCAGTCATCCTTCCTACTAAACCTGTGGAACTGAGTCAATTAAACTTCTTTTCTTTATAAATTACTCAGTCTTGGGAAGTTCTTTATAGCAGTGTGAAAACAGAATAATATAGAAAATTGGTACCAGAAAAGTGAGGTATTACTATAAAGATATCTGAAAATGTGGAAGCAACTTTGAAACTGAGTAACAGGCAGAGGTTGAAACAGTTTGGAGGGCTCACAAGATGACAGGAAGCTGAGGGAAAGTTTGGAACCTCCTAGAATTTGTTGAAGGATTTTGACCAAAATGCTGATAGTGATATGAACAATGAAGTCCAAGCTGAAGTGCTCTCAGATGGAGATGAGCAACATATTGGGAAATGGAGCAAAGGTGACTCCAGCTATGTGTTAGCAAAGAGACTGGCAGCAATGTGTCCTTGCTCTAGGAATCTGTGGAACTTTGAACTTGAGAGAGATGATTTAGGGTATCTGACAGAAGAAATTTCTAAGCAGTAAAGCATTCAAGATTTGACCTGACCGTTGCTAACAGCATATATGCACGAACAAACTGATGGTCTGAAGCTGGAACTTATTTTATTAGGGAAGCAGAACATAAATGCTTGGAAAATTTGCAGGCAGACCATGCAGTAGAAAAGAAAACCCATTTTCTGGGGAGAAACTCAAGGCTGAAGATATTTGCATAAGTAAAGAAGAGCAGAATGGTAATAGACAAGACAATGGGGAAAACGCCTCCAGGGTATTTCAAAGACCTTTGTGGCAGCCCTTCCCATTACAGGCCTGGAGGCTTAGGAGGAAAAAAATGGTTTCATGGGCCAGGCCCTGGGCCCCACTGGTCTGTGAAGCCTTGGGACATGGTGCTCTGCATCCCAGCTGCTCCAGCTCAAGCCATGGCTAAAAGAGGCTCAAGTGCAGCTCAAGCTATTGTTTTAGTGGGTGTAAGCCATAAGCCTTGGTGATTTCCATGTGGTGTTGGGCCTGCTTGTGCACAGAAGGCAACAGTTTGGGAGCCTGCACCTGGATTTCAGAGGATGTATGGAAACACCTGGATGCCCAGGCAGAAGTCTGCTGCAATGGTGTAGTCCTCATGAAGAACTTCTACTAGGGCAGTGTGGAAGGAAACTGTGGGATTGGATCCCCCACAGAGTCCCCACTGGGGAACTGCCTAGTGGGGCTGTGAGAAGAGGGCTACCATCCTCCAGACCCTGGAATGGTAGATTATCTGGCAGCTTGCACCATGCACCTGGAAAAGCCACAGACATTCAGTGCCAGTCCTTGAAAGCAGCCATGAATGTTGTATCCCACAAAGCCACAAGGGCAGAGCCGCCCAAGGCCTTTGGAGGCCATCCAGTCTCAAATGGGTAATTTCTTAGACACATTATGTAATTGGGAGAACCCTCTAATTGTTCTTTGCCTTTGAGGATAAGAACTATCATTGTGAAGACTAAGTGTAAAACTCTAAAACTGCCACCTTCTATGAGGAATGTATTTTCATGTTTCTGCCGTGGCAGGACCTTATGATAAAAGAAATTTGAAATGCTATAGAGAATGTGCAAGTTCCCCCAGAATTATTTGCTCTTCACATCTAAGTGTGTTATACCTATGGTCATGCTCTGACATTTTAAACATAATTAAATCTTTAGTCATTTATTTACACCCCAAAGGGCTGTACAAATTAGTGACTTTCCCCTTCTCTTCCAAAACAGAATTTGTTCACACTTTAAAAATAAGTTCTCTCTTCCTAGCTCAAGAGCAGTGTGGGAGGAGATGGGGAACTATAAAGGAGTTCCTATATAAGCTCTGATACATATAATTTCAAGATCTCTCTCCTACAGATGTGCAGGTTATATCCATCCTCATTGTATCACCCCAGGAAGATTAGGGCACAGGGAATCAGTGCTGTTGTTTCTGTAATAATAAGCCTGACCTCTAATTCAAAACCTCATGCTTTTAGAACAAAATAAATACATGTAGATGTTAAAAATGTACCAGTCCTTAGCCTACAAAGTAAATAAAAGCCCATTGAGTCTCAGGGGAAATGGCAAAAATTAGTACAACTCTTAAAGACCTAAAGGATCTATGGTTCCATCATATCTCCATTTAATTTATCCATCTGGCTCAAAAAACAAACAAACAAACAAACAAACAGATGGAACTTGAATGATGTCAGTGGATAACTGCAAACTCAACCAGGTAATAGCCTCAACTGCAGCTGCTCTGCCAGATGTAATATATTTGCTAGAGAAAATTACCATGGTCTCTGGTACATGGTATGCAGCCATTTATCTGGCAAATTGGTTCTTTTCCATTTTTATCAGAAAAGCAGATCTGAAACAGTTTGTATTTACTTGGAATAGACCTCAGTATTCATTTACAATCTTGCCCAGAGCTATGTTGTTTCTTCCACCTTCTATCTTAACATCATCCAAAAAGACCTGGCCCAGCTGGTCATCCTACAAATATTATATTCTTTCACTGATGAATGAGAATCTGAATCATAACACCAGTTTAGCCACTCATACTGGCATAGCTGCTCTTTGAGTTTGACAGGAATCTAGATGATCATATGAAGGGAGATAATAAGACATGATGCATACTAGTCACTGTTCACAGCCCAGCTGCAATACTAAGGGATGCAATTTGTCCCACTAGCTTTCCTATTTTATGTCTCCCTTAGGAAAAATAAATGTGCCCAAATTCTAGAAGGGCTACTCTAAAAAGTTATATGAATACATAGTTTGGTGTAGCAAAAAGGGTAAACTGTAGTGGATTGCGTGATACAGAACCCAGATTCCCATTCAAGAATAAGACACTTTCGGCCAGGAGCAGTGGCTCATGCCTGTAATCCCAGGGATTACAAGGAGGCCAAGTCAGGCAGATCACAAGGTCAGGAATTCAAGACCAGCCTGGCTAATATGGTGAAACCCCATCTCGACTAAAAATACAAAAATCATCCAGGTGTGGTGGTGTGCGCCTGTAGTCCCAGCTACTTGGGAGGCTGAGGCAGGAGAATCACTTGAACCTTGAACCTTGGAGGCAGAGGTTGCAGTAAGCTGTGATTGAGTCACTGCACTCCAGCCTGGACAACAGAGTGAGACTCTGTCTCAAACAAAACCAAAAGCAAAACAATAAGACACTTTCAACTTCCGTTTCCTGGAACCCTTCTAACAGACTACATTAGATTGTTAGCCCTTGACTGGATTTGCATTACCTAATGAAAATAGCTTTGCTTAAGATTTCATTAACTTCTCTGAGGCAGCCCACAACCAATGGCTGCTTTAGGTGGGGGCAAAAAGGCTCAGCTCCTTCACCCCAATTCAAGACTACTCTGAATAAGCCATCTCATTTTTAAAACCACCTTTGCAAAATTATGACAGTAAGAGAAATCTGACATAGCTGACACCATGCTGCTTCTAACTGCAAGCTCTCCTCATTAATTCCTGTGAATATGCAAAGCTAACTTTAGGAGAAATTTAGGTTATAATTGAATATTAAAGCAAGGATAAGAATAGCCTTTCCCAAAATTACCCCCTATTTGTGTGGGAACAAAAATCACCTTTATAAAACAGATGAAAGCCTACAAGATTAGGATTATGGGAGGGGTCTAAACTCTGCTAAATTGAAGGCACAGTTAAATAATCACCAGGCATTGTAGCAAGAGGTCCTAAGATTTGTAACCTTCCCAGTTGATCCTACAGATAACATCACTATTGTAAAAACCTAAAATTGGAGTTTCAGGTATTTTTAAATCCTGCATTCTGATAAGGCCAGCTGGCACCACCTGAACTGGTAATCCATTCCAAGAAACTGGTTCAACTGGTCTTGTGATCCTATCCAGAACCAACTCAGCACAAGAAGACAACTTTGACCCCCTTTAATTTCATCTACAACCAATCAGCATACTTATTCCCTAGCCCCATGCCCACCAAAACATCCTTTGAAAACTGTAGCCTCTGAATTTTCAAAGAGATTAATCTGCATAATAAATTCTCATCTTCTACTTGGCTAGCCCTGTGATAACTGAACTTTTTCTCTACTGCAATACCGCTGTCTCAGTAAATTAATTTTATATGTGCACTGGGCAAGAAGAACCCATTGGGCAATTACAGGTTCAGCAGTCTCTTTGAAACTAGCTGAGGTTTATGTTGACACTGCATCACACCTAACTTTTCCCATTGCCTAATCCTGCTTTCTCCTTATTTTGAGAACCCCCACATAAACTGAGATCAGAACAGCTAGCAACTGTGCCATAACAGGAAATGAAGGGAAGCTGGAGATGGGTGTTTCCAGTCTGCCATTCATGGGATAATTTTTTACTAGCATATGGTCTAATACCTAGTTGTCCAACCCATAACAAAAAGGGTTTTTCTTACTTAAAAATCTTATAAATAAGATTCCCATGTGAAAAGAATCACTGACAGCTTCCCTTGGGGCTCTTGCCTGACCTGTGTCCAGTTTATGCTAACCATTGCTCTGATGCTGGGAGCTCACCTTTGTGTTCTCTCCAAGTCCCAGGGAAAACCTAGCCTGGGGCAATCCCTAGTTCTTCAGATGGAAGGCACAAATTCAATACACCACCACGATAGAAAACAAGTACTAAGATTCTTACAGATCCTGAGCTAGAAGGGCATAAAGACTTAGGAAGGCAATCTTTTGTCTTCAGGTCTCACTAGGCAGGAATGACAAGCCAGGCAGAGAGAGAAATGTGAATGACAACTGGGAGTATTCATAAGGGAATAGAATGAAGGTCATTTTAAGTTCATGGACTATAGGGTCCAGCCCTGCAGTGTCTGTGGGTTTTTTCTCTTTTCGTGTGCGGAGATGAGAGATCGTAGAAATAAAGACACAGCACAAAGAGATAGAAAAAAACAGCTGGGCCTGGGGAACCACTACCACATAGACGCGGAGACTGGTAGTGGCTCCGAATGCCTGGCTGTGCTGTTATTTATTGGATACAAGGCAAAATGTGCAGAGTAAGGAGTGTGAGTCATCTCCAATGATTGATAAGGTCATGTGAGTCATGTGTCTACTGGACAGGGGGCCCTTCCTTGTTTGGCAGCCGAGGCAGAGAGAGAGAGGACACCTTAAGCCATTATTTCTTCTATGCATTTCAAAGACTTTTAGGACTTTCACTAATTCTGCTACTGCTATCTAGAAGGCAGAGCCAAGTGTACAGGGTGGAACATGAAAGTGAAACAGGAGCATGACCACTAAAGCCCATCATCACAGGGAGACGTTTAGGCCTCCGGATGGCTGTGGGCATGCCTGACTGATATCAGGCCTTCCCCAAGAGGTGGTGGAACAGAGTCTTCTCTAACCCCCCAGGGAAAGGGAGACTCCCTTTCCCAGGTCCGCTAAGTAACCGGTGCCTTCCCTAGGCACTGACGCTACCGCTAGACCAAGGTCCGCTAGGTAACAGGCGCCTTCCCAGGCGCTGGCTTTACCGCTAGACCAGGGAGCCCTCTAGTGGCCCTATCTGGGCGTAACAGAGGGCTCATACTCGTCCTCTGGTCACTTCTCACCGTGTCCCTTCAGCTCCTATCTCTGTATGGCCTGGTTTTTCCTAGGTTATAATTGTAGAGCAAAGATTATTATAATATTGGAATAAAGAGTAATGCTACAAACCAATGATTAATGATATTCATATATAATCATATCTATAATCTATTTCTAGTATAACTATTCTTATTCTATATATTTTCTTTATTATACTGAAACAGCTTGTGCCTTTGGTCTCTTGCCTTGGCACCTGGGTGGCTGGCCACCCACAATGGACAAATACCTGAATGGTCTGTTTAAAGGAAGCAGAAGCAGAGGGGAAAGTGGGAAGCCAAGTCAGGTTGGTGGAAGAGATGTCTTTAAGCTCCTGGCCACAGTCTTAGCCATTTGGTTGTGGTGTAGAACTGGAAATTGTGTCAAGGGTGACTGAGCTCAGCTTCTGGTATGAGAAAGTTAAACTTACATTCAAAATGGATCCAAAGTCAACATAAAATTGTAAGAATATTCCCTAATAGACTTCCACATGCTATTGTCCATCTCACAGTTTGCTACCTGAATAACCCAGCATGTAATAATTGGTGAGGATAGTTAAGGGAGGCAATGGACACTCTTACTTCTGAGATAACTGTCTAATTGAAAACCTTATCACAATAAGATTATATGATGTATGTTCCCATAATTAACATCATTAGCAGATGCTGAAAATGATAGCATGATTTGTAATATATTTCTCTTTATGCCACATTTAGTTGGACATGAATTTTAACATTCTCTTGCTTGAATCATTCTAATGATATGTAATATCAGCCAAGTGAGCATGTACTATAATTCCATGTAACCTGTCAACCTAACTAGCAACATGTCAAGCTGAAGATATTTAACAATACAGTTCAGTCAAATTATTCATTGTTTTGTTAGAAACACAAATTTTTTACTGAATATTATTAGAGTTTTATGGTCTTTAAAGACAAAAATAACAGTAAATATTCTGTTGAAGTTGTCTATTTGATAGATCTTGGTTTAAAATTTATGTTTCTTAAAATTGATCACTATTGTCATAAAATTATTTATCAGTTGAAGAAAGAAAGACTGGCATTTTCTCCTTGAGGCATTTTCTCTATTTAAAGACAATTGTAAATAAATACAATTTCAGTTGGTATTTAAAACAATGTATAGTGTCAAATGTATATCAAAAAATTACAAGTAATTTTCATAAATTTAATCTTATAAATAATATAAATATATTTTATATTCTTGAAAAATGTGATTCTTACAGTGCAGTGAACTAGGCCATTAATGATTTTAATTAAAAATAACATAGTCTATCCTGAAAAACTTTGCATTCATATACTATCAACAAAGCATTTTTATCAAAGTCAAAATTATAATGATAATTTTAAGATTTTCACATATATTTGGGCTTTATATTGAGTTTACATTTTTTTATAAAATAGCACTATATTTTCAGATAGAAAAGTACACCAGTGAAATATCTAAATTATTTTCTGTGTACTTTAATTCTGAGAGGTAACATATATTAAGGTTGGGCGTGTAAACAAATTGAATGTGTTATTTGATTTTTTTGACAGCATAATCTATATTGTAAATCTTGGTCTTTGATAATTAACTGCATTTGAATGTTATTTTATGATAGCACTATATTTTCAGATAGAAAAGTACACCAGTGAAATATCTAAATTATTTTCTGTGTACTTTAATTCTGAGAGGTAACATATATTAAGGTTGGGCGTGTAAACAAATTGAATGTGTTATTTGATTTTTTTGACAGCATAATCTATATTGTAAATCTTGGTCTTTGATAATTAACTGCATTTGAATGTTATTTTATGACTGTGCAAATTATTTAATGATTTACTCAAAGTACCTTTTTAAAAAAAATAGGCAGTAAGATATGCTTCTTTAGTATCTCCAGTGAAATGAGCAATTATCTCTACTCACTCCAGAATTCCTAGCAATATAAAATTAAAGGAATCAAAAAGGCATTTACCCAGAAAGACAGCGAATGGGAAAAGAGATAATAGACTAGTCAGGTAACCAAACCCTTAGAATATTAAAAGTGAGTTGTAGCAGATACATTTGGTGGCCCATGTTAAAGCCCTCTGGCACACAACTGATTTCAGTTTCAGCTGTGGCGGTCAGTTTCTTGCGATCAGATTCACCTCATGGTACTAGCCACTCATTTCAAGTTTGCATGAACCACGAGCTCTGCTTTTTGACTCAGAACTGAATACAGTGCAGCATGACTGTAACCTACTGCTACGGTCCCAGAAAATGCAGAGAGCACCCCAAGACAGCAACCTTCAAAAACAGATGGAAGCAATAAATGATCTGGGATTTTCACAATAAACCAACGGTTCTGGGTTGCCTTTGATACATATTCTAGGTTTAATAATGAATCAGCAGTAGCGATGGTTACATTGTCTACAGCAGTGACCTCAGTAATGAACCTTTAGTTTGGCTTTTCCTCTTCTTTTTCCTGATCTACCTGTTCCTTAAATCCTGCTTTGTGAAATGATACTACAAATTAATAAGCTACAGCTGAGTCTTTTTCTCATTCCCTGCTTCCAGAAAAAAAAAAATAAGAAAAGAAAAGAAAAACAGTCAAGTGCTTTATAAAATACATGCAGAAAGTAGCCTCTTGAGATTCTGGAAGTGGATAGCTTGCTAGTCACATTTCTGGTGTAAGGAGAGTGATGACTTCTGGAGGGCTGTAGTATCAAACGTAGAAAGACTCTGATGTATGGTGGATTGTGACTAATTAGAAGTAAAAGTAAAACATTGAGTTTTCAATAGCTCTAACACTTTGAACATATAGTTCAAGTACATAATTTAAGGATACTTTAGACTTCAATATAGCTTTTGTAATAACTGTAAAAGCCTTAAATAAATTTGATGATCTGGGCCTCTTATTATTATTATTAATTTTTAAATTAACTTCATAGGTACAATAAAAGCCAGAAGGTCTCTGGGAAAGCATTTAAAGAGCCCTCCATTACCCACATCCTGCTCCTGCAGCAGTAGGAAAGACTGCATTGAAGGTCAGTTTGAGGACTTTATAGCAGATCTGTAAAGTATAGTAGAACTGCAAAAGAGACTGTGCACTTTTGACCAATCTCCTTTGATAAATTTAGGATCTTTGTAGAGAAATGGAAATGCTCAAACTCTTCTTTCATGATATTTTCAAATCACCACATTGGGATATTTTCACCAATCATGTCGTCAATTGCTTTTCTGGACCAACGACTGATCACCGACTGACAGACTCAGTGCATTAATACTGTATCATGAGGACCTTTGGATATTAGACCTTTTGCTATGTACCAACAGTCACAGTCTTGGTTCTTATTTTCACAATCCACAATATAAAAATGAATAAAATATATGACACAATTTTTTTCTGACTTTGAATAACAGGTAGTTCTGGAAAGTGATCACTGACAGAAGGGAAACACACAGACAGACTCCTACTAATCCCCTGGTTTTCTTCCTTGGGGTACTTCGTATACTGGAATGCAAGGAGGTGTAGCCCAAGCTGATCATAGCACTCTAGATGAACAGAGACGCATACACTGTAATGTTAAACTTTAACACTGCCACAGTTTGTGAGGAAATTTACCAGAGAAGTTGGAGCTGCTAAGAGCAAAGAATGGCTGCTGTGTGGCTAAAAGCTAGAAAGAGCTAGCCACCTCTTGATGGCAGACTGCCAATGTTCTGGAAGACCATTTGTGATAGGAAATAATGTTGTCATTTAAGGAAAAATAGTTTTTAGAACTCTTCTCTGACAATTCACGTACCTACCAAATGCACAATACTCATAGCCCTCTCACAAGACCTTTTCCCCCAGAAGCCTCATTCCTTCATGGCATCAGTCTTATGCTTGAAGTTGAGAATATCATCATCTAAATCAAGTTCTATGAGATAATCAGGGTCCTCAGAGGAATATACTTTCCTTCAATAGGATATAGAACTAAAACAATGACTCCATTCCAGACAATGGGCAAGTTAGTCATGATTTTTTATTAAGCTAGGGGCCTCATCATCAATACTCTATTTTGTTAAATTTTAGAAATTGAGAAGATGTCGATGCCCACTTATTTCGTAACACTATACTTGTGAAGAATTTGCCTAACTCTCTGAAGGTTAAGCACCCTATGCTATCAATCTTACCTTGCCATTTATTAAAATAAATTTGTCCATCTTTATTTCATAATTAAGGTCCAATACTCTATTGTTTTGATATATGATCATCTACACTGATAATAGGGAATACGATTCTGTAACATCTCCTATTATCCATTCTGTCCTAAAACCTTTCTCAATGACACATTTCTAATTATTTTGGGGAAGTGAGTATCTTCTGGGTCCTCCCATGGGCCATAGTCCCCAGGTAGATTTTCTGATCTTGCATAACATATCCATTCTCTTATTCTCATTTTCCTGAGCCCTTTGATCCTTATTCCCATGGTGGACCATGGTTGTTCTGCCAGTTTTAATTCAATTTGTGTAAGCTAACATATTTTTTTGAGTTTCCAAAATTCCACTTGGCAGTGCATTAATATTGTATTATTAGGACCTTGCCAAGGTGTTAAATTTTCTCTCACATGAGCATGTTCCCGTATGGATGGATAAGCTATCCCCTTTTCAACTTTATATCCCTTCGCCTTTGATTCTGCACCTTCAGGATTTAATCTCATACATATTGTCCTGTTTCCTGCTGATTAATAATTAATAGGTCTTCAGCTTTTTGTGGGATAGTAACTGTCCTCACAAAGCCGACTCGGCACTTTCCAGACTGGATTAATTTGTGATTTTACTCTAGTTATGGGTTGGAAGTAAAAAGTATGTGTAGATTCTGAAGGGGATTGATTTTGCTTTGTAAGCTACAGGCTCCATATCATCTTCAGGAAAGGAGTGGAGGGTGAGAGGAGGAGATTGCTAGCCTTTAAGAGGGAACAATGGAAAACTTCCTTAAACTAGAAGGTCTTGGGGAATCTGAAGGTTCAACGTTCTTAAGTATGTTGCTTGGATATTCCTGTGTTAAGTAAAAAAGCATTAATCCTTGCCAACTAGGTCCCTGACTTGGTACGACAGACCATCCAGGATTGAGAATTCAACATTTCTCTGGATCTCTGCTAGCCTTATAATTAAGTTTTGGGCCTGATCCTAAACTTTCTCTGCCTTCTGACTCCAAAAGATAAGACTCTTTTTATGTGCTATAAAATAGGCCCTCTGACTTTTAGACTCTTCCTTAAACTGGTAATTAATCACCTTCAACCTGTCATTGTAGTTCTCAAATACATCTGTCTCACTCAGTAAAAGCCATGTAATTCCATTGCTTTGTAACTACTACTACCCTGAACCATTCTGATGTCTCAGATATTATAGCAGAGTATTTTCTTCTACAGGCATTCAATCCCTGTTTGCCCACATCAAAAAGCTGAAAGATCACAAATTGACAACCTAGCATCAGTCCTTGAACTAGAGACATAATAACAAACCAAACCCAAAGCTAGCTGAAGAAGAGAAATAACAAAGATTAGAGTAGAACTAAATGAAGCTGCAACAAAAAAATACAAAGATCAATGAAACTAAAAGTTGGTCCTTTGAGAAAATCATGTAACCTGTAAACCATTAGCTAAATCAATCAAGAAAAGAAGAGAGAAGATCCAAATAAGCTCAATTAGAAATGAAAATTACAACTAATACCATAGGAATATAAAACATTATTTCAGACTAGTATGAACACCTCTATGCACACAAACTAGAAAATATAGAGGAAATGGATAAATTCCTGGAAACATACAATCCTTCTAGCTTAAATCAGAAAGAAATAGAAATCCTGACAGACCAATACCAAGCAGTGAGATTGAATCAATAGTAAAAATTTTGCAACAAAAAGAGCCCAGGGCCAGATGAATTTACAGCCAAATTCTGCTAGACATTCACAAAAAAATTGTACCAATCCTACTGACACTACTCCAAAAGATTGAGAACCAGGGAATCTTCCATAACTCATTATATAAAGCTGGCATCACACTGCTACCAAGGCAAGAAAGGATATACAGACCAACATCTTTGATAAACACAGATGCAAAAATCCTCAACAAAATTCTAGCAAATCAAATTCAACTGTACATCAAGAAGGTAATTTACCATCATTAAGTGGGATTTCAGCCCAGTGATGTAGGGATGGTTTAGCATAATGAAAGTCAATAAATGTGATTCATCACATAAACCAAATTAAAAACAAAACCCTTATGATCACCTCCATGGACAAAGGGAAAGCATTCAATAAAATCCAGCATCCTTTTATAATTAAAAACCCTCAACAAACTAGGCATAGAAGGAAGATATCTCAAAATTATAAAAGACACATATGACAAACCCACAGTCAACTTTATACTGAATGGGGAGAAGTTGAAAATGCTCCCCCTAAGAACTAGAACAAGACAAGGATGCCCACTTTCACCACTTCTATTCAACATAGTTCTGGAATTCCTAGCCAGAGCAATCAGGCAAGAGAAAGAAAGAAAATGTATCCAAATTGGAAAAAAGGATGTCAAGCTCTCTGTTTGCTGATAATATGATTGTATTCCTGAGAAACCCTAAAGACTCCTTCAAAAGATTTCTAGATTTTGCAAATGAATTCAGTAAAGTCTCAGGTTATAAAATCAACGTACACAAATCAGTAGCACTGCTATAGCCCAACAATGACCAAGATGAGAATCAAATCAAGAACTCAATCCCCTTTAAAATAGTTGTAAAAAAGTAAAATACCTAATAATATACTTAATGAAAATTAATTATACTTAATGAAGGAGATGAAAGATCCCTACAAAGCGAATTACAAAACATTGATGAATACAATCATACATGACACAAACAAATGGAAATATATTCCATGCTCATGAACTGGAAGAATCAGCATTATAAAAATGACCGCACTTCTTAAAGCAATATATAGATTCAATGCAATTTCTATCAAAATACCAATATCACTTTTCAGAATAATGAAAATTATTCTGAAATTTACAGAATTAGAAAAAGCAATCCTAAAATGTATATGGAACCAAAAAAGAGCCTAAATAGCCAAAGCATTCCCAAGCAAAAAAAGAATAAACATGGAGGCATAGTGTTAAGCAACTTCAATTTATACTACAATGCTGTAGTATCCAAAACAGTATGGTGCTGGTATAAAAGTAGATACATAAACCAATGGAACAGAATGGAGAACCCAGAATAAAAGCCAAATATTTACAATCAACTGATCTTAGACAAAGCATACAAAAACAAAAACAAAAATAGAGAAAAGGACACCCTATTCAATAAATGGTTTTGAGAAAACTAAATAAGTACATGTGGAAGAATGAAACTGAATTCCTTTCTCTCACTATATAGAAAAATCAACTGAAGGTGGATTAAAGACTTAAACCTAAGACACCAAACCATAAAAATTCTAGACAAATAACCTAGGAAAAACTCTTCTGGACATTGGCCTAGGCAAAAAATTAATGACTAAGACTGCAAAAGTAAGTGCAGCAAAACCAAAAATAACTGAATGGGACCTAATCAAACTAAAATGCTTCTGCTCAACAAAGGAAATAATCATCAGAATAAACAAAAGACCCACAGAATGGGAGAAAATATTTGCAAACTATGCATCAGACAAAGGACTAAAATCCAGAATCTACAAGAAACTCAAACAAATAAGCAGGAAAAAAACAAAAACAAAACAAAACAAAAAACAAATAATCCCATCAAAATGTGGGCAAACATCATGAATAGACATTTCTGGAAATAAGATACACAAATGGCCAACAAATGAATGAAAAGAAAAAAATGCTCAATATTACTAATTATCAGGGAAATGCAAATTTAAAACCACAGTGAGATACCACCTTACCTCATCCAGAATGACCATATTAAAAAGTCAGAAAACAATAGATGGGGTAGTTGTGGTGAAAAGGGAATGCTTACACAGTGTTGGTGGGAATGTAAATTAGTGCAACTTCTATAAAATACATTATAGAGATTTTTCGAAGAACTAAAGGTAGATCTACCATTCAATCCAGCAATCCTACCAAGTATCCACCCAAGGGAAAATAAGTCATTATATCAAAAAGACACCTGCACATGTATGTTTATTGGAGGACAATTCACAACTGCAAATATATAAAACTAACCTAAGTGCTCATTAACCAATAAGTGGATAAAGAAAATGTGTTATAAATACACCATGAAATACTACTCAGCCATAAAGAAGAAAAAAAGAAGAATGTCTTTTGCAGCAACTTGGATGGAGCTGGAGGCCATTATTCTAAGTGAAATAATTCAGGAATGGAATATCAAATACCATACATTCTAATTTGTATGTGGGAACTTAGCTATGGGTATGCAAAGAAGGCATACAGAGTGGTATAATGGACATTGGAGACTTAGAAGAGAGGAGAGGGAAGGCTCATGAAGAATAAAAAACTACATACTGGGTACAGTGCACACTACTGGAGTAATGTGTGTGCTAAAATATGAGATTTCACTACTGTATAATTCATCCATGTAATCAAAAACCACTTGTAACCCTAAAGCTATTGAAATTAAAAATAAAAATAAATTAAGGAAATACAAAGTTATAAAATACATAACAACGTGAAAATAAATAAAGCAGATACATTGGACAGCCAGCCTTATGGATATGTGACCTGTGCTCTTGAACAGAGCCTTACATACAGAAAGACCCAATGCTTGGTTTCAAGCTCTGCTGTTTTGAAATAATTAATTTTTGAACAAGAAGCCCCACATTTTCATGTGTCTCTGAGCCGGCAAATTATGCAGCCAATCTTGTGAATAGCAAAGTCCTCCAAATCAGAATACTGGTCAGAGATGTTTGTTAACAGCATTATGTTGTAATCTTGAACATTTTCTAAGAATATATTACTGAAATGGAGAAGAAGAGCTCAGTAGATTAAAAAATGTGAATTTTTATGGCTATTTAAATTTGTGGCTCTGCAAAATTTCAAGTAAATTGAAACAATATATGATGCACCAATGGTGTTTGAGTGCATCAATATCATTATAAGTACTTCATATTTTTATTTTATTATTTTCTAAATTAACATATGCAAAGCATTCACAAGTATTTAACTATTCACAAGTATTTAAATTTGCTTAATTTGTATTTACATTTAGGTTGAACACTGCCAAAGACATTGTTACATGTTCTATCACTTCTGTGAAATGTTTACCACTTTTTAATTTGCCTACTTGTGTTTTGATAATTTCTGTAGTGGTTTTCTTTAATAAGAAGCAAAGAGATCTTAATCTTTAAAAGATTAAAAATTAAATTGCAGGGAGAAGATATAGATTAAAGACAAGATTTTGGTTTAACCAATGTAATTTACTGATAGATCGAATGTGATGTGGAAAAAGAAGGAAAGGTTTTATATGATGTATGTTTATAAGACTGATGAATGCCTCACAACCAGCCAAGACAGAAATTATATAAAAAAGAGCAATGACAATAAGTACCTGTTTTGTGTATGGTAAATTAAAGAAGGCTGAGGCATATTCATGCTAAGAATACACTAGAATATTTAAGACTATAGCTCAGTGAAAATATCTAGAAAGGATAAGTTCATACTACTTGTTACCTGCTAGTATAACTGTGGAACATAGCAATGTCTAAGGAGGGATGTGTAGCATGAAAATATAAAAAAGATTTTTAAAAGTACCTTAAAACATACATATTAAAGGAATGTACAAAAGGAGTTAAGCACCTGCAATGGAATGGTAAAAAATAAATAAATTAAAAGAGTTACATGAGAAAATATTCAGCAGTGCTGTAAAGACAGCAGATGATATCTGTGCTGTAATGTGCATATTAAAATATGCAGAATCAAAAGAGTGACTTTTGGCTATACAACTTCAATAAACTTAAAGAATCAGAAATAACGTTACAACTGGACTCTAGCACTTGAAGGGAATATAGGAAAGTAGACATACAAATAGCACAATATGCTTTTGATGTACAAGTTTAGAAAAACATCCAGGGTTAGTTTTACTTAAATGAGAGATACATGAACATATTCATAACCTTAAAATAACATTCAAGTTAGATATAGAGCTTGTTGATACAGGTGAGTGACCAGCACACTCAATTCATTGAAGTCCCTGAAAATTTCGAAGTCAAGGGATCCAGATCACAGGTGAATGAATTAAGTTCAAGAGGTAGAAAATTGTCATTTGAGAAGATGTATGAAGAAAGGAATGACAGCATGCACCACTAAATTTGGAGATTAGTGGCATGAAAAGATTGAGAAAAATGACATTTGGTGTCTTTTATTTTTTCAGTAAATAGTAACAAGTCCATATGCTGATAACTGAAGTGGACAGAGGATGGTTCAAAACTTCGAGAAGATTGTCCACAGATTTAAATTAGATGTTGAGAGAGACAAAAGAGAGACCTCTACTCTTCACCTTTATATGATTATATTGCCTAACAAAATCCCTTTAGTACTTATAACAGCAAGCATTTATTTCTCACTCATAATGTTACTGGTGCAAGGTTCTTGGCTCTCAGTGTAATATAAATTAACATGAAGGCAGTCAAACTTTTCCCAAATAAGGTCTATTGAGATTTATGCTCTAAAAGGCTGGGCATAAGGGAGACAGCTCTGGAGGAAGAGTTTTCTGACAGGCTCCCCCAGGGTAGGTCTTTGTGGTGTTTTGAGGAGGGTAACATGAATAATTTGTGCAGTGTCATTATATGTGCAGGGTGGAGTGCCAGGTGCACAGGTGTAGTAAGTATTCATGCTGACACATACATTGCATGGTCAGAAAATAGCAGATAAGCTCCACCTTTGGCAAATATTTTAGTGTTATAATGAGGCAAAGATTATGTTTGGTCATCCTCCTGGTCTTGTGTGCATGCAGGTGGCAGGGTCGACTACTTTGGACAAGATTTGCAGCAAAATATTGCTTATCTTAACTTTCTTAAATAACTTGCAAGGTTTCAGCAGGTTTGGCACCAGTGGGGGTGAGGGTGCAAGGCCTGGTTGTTTCCGGGTATGCATAGAAATGTATATTAGTGGGGTCAAGTTTTGTCTCTACTTTGTCTCAGCAAGTCTATGGGTCCATTGATCTTGCCTAGGCTTGGCCCTAGTTGTGAGTAAGCTTCAGGCCTGCTCCACGTGTCCCTCATTCTGGCATCAGAAGATACATGAATTTTGCACTTTTCATGGCACAGCGTAAGAGTGTAAGAGAACCAGTTAAATTATGCAGGCACAGTAAGCCCTTGTCTTGGGTCAACATTTACCTATACTCCACTAACCACATCAGGTCAAAAATCTATGCCCAATATGTAGAGAGTAGCCATGAGAAGGCCTTGGAGGAAAGATCTATGAATAAAATGCATATCTACAACATATACCGTAGATTTTATTTTTGGCCACAATTATTGCTTTCATTCTGCAAGCAAAATATATTACTCTCTACCCATAAACTCCAAATGTCTCAGGAAACCAGGTTTGTGATCCAGGATCTTCTGATCTATATTGAGTATGAATACTACTTCTATTGATCTGGAGACTAATGAAATTTTTCTACTCCTTCCATATGCCTCAGCCCCATAAAATGATTAAACGGAATCAGCACAGCTTCAATATATTTTTCTGCTCAGAATCAGGAAGCAAGGCGGGGATTACAGGAGTGAAGCACTTGGCTGGGGTACAAAATGTAAAAACATGTCAATAATCTCTGTAACCAAGAAAAATGGCTTTTAAACACAATTTTAAAGAAACATAATTAACAGAAAAATCTATGGTGAACAAAATATTAATTTCAGAATTAGAAACTGAGCCATATTGACCTAAATTAAATCTTGAGGAAATAAAATCAGTAATACTGATCCAAACTTTTACAAACATATTAATGTTTTAGTACTTTGATAGTTCTTAAATATATTTTATCTTTGGTAGTTTTGCATTAAATTTGATTTTTCAAAATATTTATTGGAATATTATTAGTTAAGTTACTGAGCTTTTGCACCCCAGGCAAGCACCTCACTCACTACATTCTAGTCCCTGCCATAAAGGCAAAAAGGAATGGCGTACATTAATCTTCGAGCCATAGTAATTATAAGATCTGGGCAAGTGCATATGCTCCCTCTTTCTGGAGAGAAGATATTGTTCTTGAATATGTGCCTGTACTTCCTGCTGAGAACAGTTTCCCAGTACATTGTGCACTGCACTCAGCTTTGCTTCCTGAGAGAGTTCCTTTTTATTCTTGTCTTCCTTGGCCACACTCTAAAGAGGACATTGGAGAGATAATACGCTTATTTTTTCAGGCAAATAGCAATCTCAGCGTGCTTCTTAATGCTAGCAAATTGAGAGTCCTTTGGTCCTTTTACATCTTAATTTGTCAGTCCTCTCTTAATCCAGACTGGCATGATTATTAACATTTCTATCTCAAAAATTGTGCGTTTGAATTCTTGAGTGTTTTGCAACTTCACTATATTTAAAATGCAGGTTTACCTGGTAAAATGTAGTTTGCTAGACTTCCATGAGACCACAGTTAGTCTCTTATTTAGGGACATTTTATATGGTTTCTTTTTCTATTAACTTAAACAGAAATTTTACTACATGATCTAACAGTCATACCCATGATTTGATCTTTGTTCCAAGGCTACATCAGACGGTCACTGCCCTAATTTGTAGAGAAATATTTCCACTCTCCAAGACTGCATTTCTAGGGATTTGTGGGGACTCTATATTTCTTCCTGTACACCAGTCAGTCCCTTTCTGAACATGTGTCATTATTGCAGTACTTTGCAAAATGTTTATACAAGCCAATTTATACTACCAAAATTTTGTCTGGAAATACCACAAGTTTATTGTGTGAATTCTGTTTTCTGGGCTATCGTAAGCTATAGTTGTATCAAATGTTTTACCAGAACGTAATATGGGTTACATTTTCCAACTCCAAATGTTTTCCTTCTGCCTGATACCCAGCCCGGAAGCCAACATCACATATTTTAGTTTTAGTTAAGGCAGGACCTGTTTCTGCATTAGTTAGATAATATTGAGACAATGAATTCTTCTAACATTTCAATGGTTTATAAAACAAATATATATTTCCTCCTCCAAGTTCTGAAAATTGACTGTGAGTTACCTAGGTTCAATTGGTTTTGGCATATGGCTAACTGCAAGTTGGTTTCAGTTATGTTCCTATGTCCACTCATTCTGGAACTCAGAGGCAACAGAGCATGCTATTTGCATGTAAGAGGAGAGAATTGCAAACAATGAAACTAAAAAATAAAGCAAAATTATAAAAACACATTTAAACATTTTGTTTACATCACATATATTTAATTCCATTGGCAAAGAACACCATCTATGAGCCAGGAAAGTCTAATCCAGCCACAGGGAAACTAAGGAAAGACATGAGAGGAATATAAAAATTGTGAAAAAAATGATAATACCTACCAGAAGACCTAGCCAATGATAAGTCAAGAAGTGAGTGCATGGTGTTATAAAAGAAGGTGAGTTTGAAAACTCACATAGAGTAGCAGTGCTAGTAGCAGTAGTAGTAGTAAGGGTAATAGTAAAATAACAGTTACTGAGTGCTCAAAATATGCTAATGGCTTTTCTTTCTATTTAATAAACATATTAAATAAGCACAACACACCTTTAAAGTAAGTCCTATTATTATGTCCATTTTATATGTGAAGAAACCAAAACAATTTCCCAAAGTTCATAGAAGTAGAAGTGGAGAATGGAGTCTAACTAAAAGACAAGTCTGGAGTCTAACTAAAAAACAAGTCTTCAACATAATACTGGAAGTCCTAGCCAGAGCAATGAGGCAAGAGAAAGAAATAAAAGGCATCCAAATAGGAAGAGAGGAAGTCAAACTATCTCTGTTTGCAGACTATGTGATAGTCTCCATAGCCTCTGCCCAAAAGCTCCTTCACCTGATAAACAATTTCAGCAAAGTTTGAGAATACAAAATAAATGTACAAAAATAAGTAGAATTTCTATACAGCAATAATTTCCAAGCTAAGAGCCAAATCAAGAATGTAATCCCATTCACATAAACAAAATAAGAATAAAATACCTAGGAATACACATAACCAGGAGGTGAACAATCTCTACAATGAGAATTACAAAACACGGTTGGAAGAAATCAGAGTTGATACAAACAAATGAAAAAATATTCCATGTTCATAGATAGGAAGAGTCAATATTGTTGAAATGACCACACTACCCAAAGCAACTGTTAGATTCAATTCTATTCCTATCAAACTAGCAATGACATTCTTCATAGAATTAGGGGAAAAATGGTCTAAAATTCATATGGAACCAAAAAAGAGCCTGAATAGCAAGAGAAATCCTAAGCAAAAAGGACAAAGCTGGAGGCATTACACTACCCAATTTCAAACTCCACTACAAGGCCACAGTAACTAAAACAGCATGGTATTGATACAAAAACAGACATATAGATCAAGGAACAGAATAGAGAACCTAGAAATAAAGCCACACATCTATAACCATCTGATCTTCACCGAAGTTGACAAAAACAAGCAATGGGGAAAGGACTCCTTATTCAATAAATGGTTCTGAGCCAACTGGCTAGCCATACGCAGAAGATTGAAACTGAAATTCTTATTTTCAACATATAGAAAAATCAAAATGGATTAAAGATATAAATTAAAACCTAAAACTATAAAAACTCTAGAAGATAACCTAGAAAACACAACTTTGAACATTGGCCTTGGCAAAGATTCTATGACAAAGACTCCAAGAACAATTGCAACAAGAACAAAAGTTGACAAGTAAGACCTAATTAAACTAAAGACCTTCTACACAGCAAAAGAAGCTGTCAACACAGTAAACAGAAAACTTACAGAATTGGAGAAAAATTTGCAAACTATGCATCTAACAAAGGTCTAAAATCTAGAATCTATAAGAAACATAAACAAAGAAGCCAAAAGCAAACAACCCTGTTAAAAACTGTGCAAAAAGCATGAACAGACACTTCTCAAAAGAAGACATAGATGCAGCCAACAAACATATAAAACAATTCTCACCATCACTAATCATTAGAGAAATGCAAATCAAAACCACAATAAGATAGCAGTCAGAATGGCTATTATTATAAAGTAAAAAAATAACATTCCTATGAGGATATGGAGAAAATGCAATGCTTTACACTGTAAATTATTTCAGCCACTGTGAAAAGCCATTTGGAGATTTCTCAACAAACTTCAAACAGAAAGAACTACCATTAGACCCAGCAATCCCATTACTGGATATATACTCAGAGGTATATAAATTGTTCTACCATAAGGACACATGTACGTGTATGTCCGTGGCATTACTATTCACAACAACAAAAATGGGGACTAAATCTAGAAGCTCATCAATGGTGGCTGGATAAAGAAAATGTGATACATATAAACCATGGAATACGATGCAGACATCCAAAAGAATGAAGCCCTGCCCTTTCCAGCAGCATGCATGCAGCTGGAGGCCATTATCCTAAGCACTTATAAGCACTTACAATTGAAAGATAAATATTGAGTACACATGGACACAAAGAAGATGACAATAGACACCAGGGCCTACTTGAGGGTGGAGGGTAGAGGAGAATGAGGAAAAACAACCTGTAGGGTACTATGCTCATTTACCTGGTAACAAAATAATCTGTACACCAAACCCACATGGTACACAATTTACCCACGTGACAAATCTATACATTTACCCCTGAACCTAAAATAAATGTTGGACATAATAAATAAATAGATTAATTAATTAATAACAAATCTAATTCCAGAGCCATGCTTCTAACCACTATGCTTCAAAATTTTAATGTTTGGTTATGATATTCTAATTGTCATTTTTTTGTGTTCTCCAGTAAAGCATACCTAGTTGGATGTTAGAACAAAGATATTCTGTGTGTTTGATTTAGAATTGTGGATTTGTGAAATGTGCCCAATGGAAGAACCTAAATTGTTCTAAGTGTTAGAGACAGTTTAATTCTTTTGATAGATAGGTACATATGGAATAGAACAGTAAAGCAGATGAAAAGAAATGTTGGAAGGGTAAGAGAATTATGAAGTACTAGAAAAAAATTATACTCATTGAATTATCAGTATGATGTTAGGGAATCCCTTCTTCTCCATTGAGGTGATAAGAATACAAAGCTATTTACACTGAGGTATGAATGGATGATTAATAATAAATAAAATGACTTAGGAGTTCTCTGCATAAGTGACTACTCCCTCAACTCTTCCCCGCCATGAATCTTCATTAACAGTGTGTGGTTACTTTCTCTATTTATCTTTTTGGTATAGATATATCTGCTAAGAATCTGAGTTTCTTCCTGTTTTCTGGCACATTCAGAGTGATTTTGTTCTAATGAGTCCCCATAGACTAGAATGTTGACTATAATTTTTATTTTTCCTTTCAACCTCAGATCAGGTGCCTATCCCTGCTAAAATCAGTTATAGCTCTGTGGATCGGTTGAAATCATTTGTACTGAAGTACCTCTTCATCAGTGACTGTGAGACAGAAGGAACATTGAACATAAAATGATTAATGTTTTTTACATTTAAGTATATTTATTTTTCTTTCAAAGGTGCATTTAAAATAGTAGGTCTTTATTTCCACAGTTTAGATGATAAGGTTTATTTGTACTCCCATTATCAAGATACCTCTGTATCTGTAATGTGCCTGTGTTCTTACTTTCTAAATTGCCTTTTGTCTTGAACTAATGTTCAAAGTTCAAGATATAAATAGTTTGGCTTTTCTGCTTAGGAAACACACAGTTACACACACACACACACACACACACACACACACACACACAGCTACTATTTAGACTGCAAGGCACCTAATAAATCTATAGCACTGTCTTCTTGGAATCAGTGCCTTAAAGAATGAAGATGTAATTGAGTGGTTAAATAAAATTCATTCCAAGAACAATCGGATCCTCAGGGACTATTTTGCTATTGAAACTCTTGCCATTAGAGTGAACTAATTGCACTGAAGAATTATTTCAATTCATTGATTTTTAAAAATTTGTTTACCACTACTCGTGTTTGGATGATTAAATCTCAAAATAAGTTGAGCAGGAGATTTTTAGCTTAGAAATGTTACTATACTTAGCAATTTTTTTCAAAAACACTGTATGAATAGTTTAGAGAAAATTAGGCATTAGTTTAAAAACTATATTGGTCTTTCTAAAGCCATATTTAGGGACATTTTGAATTAAACAGAAATGTTGGCAACTATATCATTGAAAGGCGCAAATTGGAATTTCTGCTCTTGAGAAATATCTTACTGGCTATCTGTGTCTTATGATTTATTTGCTTCATTTTATGCCTTATAAATTTACCAAAGTTTACAATGTCAGGCATATGATCTGTTCTTCTGAGTCATGCCAGGATGAATGGGTAAACAGGGGGCAATATTTGTCAAATGTTTAATTATCAGGCTCATTTGGCCCATCTGGTTAAGCTACTCTCCTTTTCCTTATTGCTGCGTGTTTCTCCCTGATTATCTATTTGTTTAAAAAGAGACTGTACCTAGGTCAAAAGCACAGAGGCAGAGTTGTTATCCTTTTGGATCCTCAAGATTATCCTTTCAAGTTGCTATTTTCATCCCGTTTCTTCCTGTGTTCTTAGCTTAAAAAGGCAACATTCCATATAATAGTGCTAATTCTAAATCAGTCAAAGAGACAGTTATATGCATTGTGTAAACCAGGTTGTAACCCTGGCTTATGCCAGGAAAAATGGTCTTGTCAATGAGCATGGGAAAAATTTACTATCTCCAAATTCAGATTTTTCCCCTTTTGCTTTTTGTATTTTTCAATATTTTAGAATCAATATTTGGTTTGAAATATAGCAAAATAGTTTAAGATATCAAGGGCCATTATAAGAGAATTCATAATTTTTAAACCATCAGTTATTTTATTCTAATACAGTAGAATGACAAACTTATGATAAAAGTAAATATATTGTGACAGGGGAAGAAATATGACCTGAGGGTGTCTATGGCAGATGAATATAATAAAGGACTTCCATCATGGCTGTTAAATATGAAATGGCATTTTCAGCTACAGAGCTCAATAAATGCTTTGTAAGCCCTATGGTTTGAAGGCAAAGTATTAGTGCAGGCGCGGTGGCTCACGCCTGTAATCCTATCACTTTGGGAGGCCGAGGCAGGCGGATCACCTGAGGTCAGGAGTTCAAGACCAGCCTGGCCAACATGGCGAAACCCTGTCTCTACTAAAAATACAGAAATTAGCCGGGCATGGTGGCGTGCACCTGTAATCTCAGCTAATTGGGAGGCTGAGGCAGGGAGATTCGCTTAAACCGGGAAGTGGAGGTTGCAGTGAGCTGAGATGGTGCCACTGTACTCCAGCCTGGGCAACAGAGCTAGACTCTGTCTCAAAACAAAACAAAACAAAACAAACAAACAATCCACTAGTTACATTCTGTTTTCCATATGTTTGAGCTAATTTAAAATTACTAAACAGTAAATTAATAATCATTTCTAAAGTTATAATCTCTACTTGTAGGGAGAATTTTATGTTGATAACTATGTTATTATTATTGCTTTTTTCTCAATGGAACTTATATTACCTTGGGGAATATTTTATTTTATTGTAATATCATCATGGTTGGAGTGAGGAGAAATCATATGATTAATCATTTTGTGTTTAATTTCAACACTTCATTTTTTAAAAAAGTCTTAAACCTGCTTGTATTTTTATATATTAATTTGAAAAATATTTTGAGCAATTATTATGTGTAGTTTATAAAAACCAAGTATTTTTGAATAACACATAACTAGATCTTATACTTATGTTGAGGCACATATACTTGTCATAAAAATATTTTCTTATTTGGAAAAAATTGTGCTAGGTAGAACTTAGTAGTTTTCTAGAATTGCCTTGATATTGAAATTAGGAAAAAGATGGTAGTGTTCTTGTAAACTGACCTCTAACCAAAAGATATTGACTTTGAAGTTTGTAATTTAAAAACAAACAAATAAAGGAGATATAATTTGAAGCTTCATGGATGTTTAAAATTATCAGGGAAATACATGACTTATGAGTTAAAAATAATCTCTATATACTTTTCTATTGGCCTTTTTTTAATACTTTAAAGTTGTTTTTTCCTACGGGATTGTTTTCCTATCTCTTCTTTGCTACTGTCCCCCTATCATATCCAACCTTAGGGCTTTAACCCTACCTATGTATGAATGATCTCAAAGTCTATATATATAAGTGTAACTTCTTATCCTCAAAGTGATCATTTTCCAAAAACCTACTCACATTCTTCACTTAGGAATCTTCAAACCCATATCTAAAATTGATGTTATCATCCTCCTTTCTAAAACTGCTCTTTTGGCCAGGTGTGGGTGGCTCACGCCTGTAATCTCAGCACTTTGGGAGGCCAAAGCTAGTGGATCGCTTGAGGTCAGGAATTCGAGACCAGCCTGGCCAACATGGTGAAACCCCATCTCTACTAAAAATACAAAAATTAGCCAGATGTGGTGGCAGGCGCCAGTAATCCCAGCTACTCAGGAGGCTGAAGCACGAGAATCGCTTGAATCCGGCAGGTGGAGTATGCAGTGAGCCGAGATTGCAGCACTACACTCCAGCCTGGGTGACAGAGCGAGACTCCATCACAAAGAAAAAAATAAAATAAAATAAAATAAAATAAAATAAAAATAAAATAAAATAAAATATGAAACTGCTCTTCCAACTCATTTAATTTTTTAAATGGTATTAATATCATCCCAGTCATCCAGGATTGTTTTAAAAATAATTTATTTTCCTCAGGCCTACAGGTGGTCTACATCCCCAATACTACTCAACCCAATTTCTTCTTGAGTCTGACATTTTCTATTAAAATATAAATAATCATGTCCAGGCTTTGAAATGCCATTTGACTATTTTCCCCATTCTCCAACTCTTTCAGCAAATCTACCAAGTACCCAATTGTAAAAGAGTTGCCATGCAACATAGCTTAATTTATTTTTTCCCTTTTAATATACATTTAATGTGTTATTTAGGAGGTATTCTCAACCAAGTATCTTTTTAAGTTTGCTCCTGATTTCATCCCCTTGTGTATGATTCAGGATTATCCATGTGCTCTCACAATGTAAACTTTCCCAAATCCTCTACACATTTCAAGGCAAGGTTCAGACACTCACTCCCCTAAGACTCTTACACTGAAAATATAAAAATAATACTGTTTTCCCCTGAATTCTCATAATTGTTTGGTTTTGACACATTATTTTTTCTACTCACAGTTATTCTATGTCCTTTCTCTTTTGAATAGTCTATTTTTATTATACCCCACATACTACAGTTCATACAGCATACGTTAAAGTTCACAATACATTTTTTGAATGAATTATAAATATTTACATTAAAAATTGACAAGGTTATGTGATTAAATTACTCTATATAGTCAAAATTCAACCAGGATGCGTTTGAAGACTTTGCAAACTCCTGAACCCTTGATGAGTCTTCTCATTCTGGAAGTGGGGATTTTATGTAGAAACTGATTTGTCCTACAGTCCTAATAGATGATAGCGAGGTTTTTCCAATCTAGTGCTCTGAACACAGGACACTGTATGTTCTCAGCCAGTCACAATCATGTTGAGGACTAAGGACTCTCCATTTGATGCAGACAAAATTGTAACTGAGACGTAAAACTCCTTAGCAATCAAATGGAATAATTGTTTGTTTTTTACTTCAAATAGAAAATTGTTTTCTAAGACTAAAATACTTGAATTGTCAGACAATATAATCTCAGCTTGTATTAGTTTTTGAATGTTCCCATAGAGGAAGTATAACAATCCATGCAATGTGAATAAATGGAAAGTAAGCAAAAATTAAAATTTAAAAAATTACTCTGTGTAAGTTAACGAAGACCACTGCTGTTATTTAGAAATAAAAATATAGAAGAAAATAGCATACATACTAAGGGATCGATTTCAGTAGTCAATTGACAGGTTTGTAAATTCCATTTTTATGGATTAGAATAAGTCAAATTAGAAAACATTTTTCAAATGAAACCCATTCTTATATACTTGAAAGGACCAGAGAAAGAGAAATAAGCACTATTTTTAACATTCACACTGAAGAAATAAATAAGCTTAGCCACAAAATACCTAATTCATGCAACAAATCCACATTATTGGTAGAGTCTTCAAGAAAAAATTATCAAGATCTTTCCTTTTTTCTGCACAAGAAATGTTAAACTCTTCTCCCATAAAATTACTGTTTAATTCTGCATATACAAAAAACATTACTTATGAGGTCCTGAATGTGATTAAAGCATGCTGCCTCCAGTATTCCTTGTAGCATTGCCTAATAGTATTAAGATAATTAGATATCTGAAAATCATCTGTAGAAATCCTGTAATTTTGCAGTGGCTCACGCCTGTAATCCCAGCACTTTGGGAGGCCTAGGTGGGCGGATCACGAGTCAGGAGATCAAGAACATCCTGGCAAACACTGTGAAAACCCATCTCTACTAAAAATAAAAAAATTAAAAAAAAAATTAGCCGGGCATGGTGGCAGGTGCCTGTAGTCCCAGCTACTCGGGAGGCTGAGGCAGGAGAGTGGCGTGAACCCGGGAGGTGGAGCTTGCAGTAAGCAGAGATCGTGCTGCTGCACTCCAGCCTGGGCAACAGAGCGAGACTCTGTCTCAAAAAAAAGAAAAAGAAAAAAGAAATCCTGTAATTTTGAAGTTCGTAAGTTATGGGAGAATGAAAAACAAAAATAGCTCTCAGTCACACATGGAACTACTTCTAAATAATCAGTTTTCATGAGAAACGTACTAGTCTGAGTTGTGAAAATTACACAAAATACAGTTGCAGATAACACAAGATATTAGCTCATTAATTAGACTTGGCTATTTATAAGGTTCGGTAGTATTTACTCAGCAACATTTTGTTATTATTACATGAAGAATTCAATTTTTATTGATCATATGTCATTGTTGATCAGAAAAATTAATTGCTGTAATCAACAATTGATTTTGTTGATTAAAAATTTTAATTTTTTGATGTACTAATAACAAAATGATAATGAGTAAATATTAAAGCTCCATTTTATCATTGAATTGTGGTTCACAGAGATGAAAAAGCTATATCACAAAATTCTACCAATAACGTCCAGCAACCATATCTACTGGTCTCATTTTATGATTATAAAATTCAGCAATCTTATTGTATTTCTCCAGTCAAATCTCTCTCCTCCTCTTTCTATTATGTAATTTCCCAACATTCCTTTTCCTGCTTAACTCTCAGCAAGTATACTTATCCCATTTCAAGACGAAAATAGAATCAATCAGAGAGAACTATAAGCTCCCACAACCACAATCATCTATCTTTCAAAATCTGAGTCTATCTACTCTTCCTTTCTGCCTCTTACAATAAACAAACTGCCTATACTGGCCTCTTACAATAAACAAACTGCCTATACTGCTACTATGGCTAACCCCTTTACAGCCCCTTTACAATCATCCTCTGTTGTCTATTCAAGGATATTATCCAGGTTGGCCTCCCTGCTCTTTCAGCGCATCACATTTCTAGTGGATATTTCCTATTAATATTAATACACAAAAGTACCCTTCTACTCTTTCTTCTTCCCAGAATGATCTCTTTCCTCTCCAGCTCCAGTGAGTCTTTCTCTTACTATCTAGTACTGGATCTTGGGTTGCCTATTTTCTGCTCTTTTAAAAGAACCTGTAAATATGTAATTAATTTGACACTGATAACTAATTCAAAAGTATTTATTTTGAAATAACAACTGAGATTTTCTCACATGAATAAAATTAGTTTTCTTGCCAATTCATTGGATATAAGTAATACAGAGAGAGCAACTATATATATAATAGCAGCAAGAAATTGCCTGAATTCTAATCAAGAAAAAAAAAGATACAATTTAAGAAGACTATTAGGTATAACAAATGTCACCTTGCATACAGTTATTTACTTCTAGTCTTCATGGAGGTGGATGTTCATAGGTAGTGACTGCCACAATACACAGTAAGTATTGGTGAGAAAAAGAAAGGAGTGATGGCAGAGAAAGACTACACCTTAATATAAAACTCATATAAATGATATCATGTCTTTCCATAGTTGTGCATTTCTCTTTTCCAGACCTGCATCCCATAGCCCAACCTGTAACATATCCATATATTGATTAGAGAATTGAATTTATTGAGTAACGTGTAAACACTTTGAATAATAACTCTGCCATACCTGGAGAAAACTAATTCCATAATGTATATTCAGGAATATATCATGGAGATGACATGGTCATGGAATTATACATGGAAACAACTTCATGTTACTAAAATCAAATACACTTTTAAATTAATCGTATTTAATACTAAGAATTTTGATGGGACACTAATATTATCTGGCAAAAAGAGCATGCCAACTAGCATGCTAGCCATAGGGAAATTTGACTACAAGTTATTTATGTTTCTTCTTCTTTCTCCTCTCCAAATAAATTCCAGTAAAAAGGGTGTTAACATGGAATTTTTTATTGGTTTCCTAAAATAAAAATTAAATGAAAATGTATATTGTGAGACAGATCATTCTGCAGAAAGCAAGTACCAAGGATCAATTTGCTACATTTAAATGTCTCAGTTACAGCAAGAGTCTAAAACAATTGTGAGTATATGGATATGAGGAAATATTAAGATTTCTTTGAAGAAAGGTGCTGCTGAACTGTGATTCCATGTAAAAATTTGACTGGTCATGGGTCAAAATTCTATCAAAAGCAGTTAGCAAGCCGATAGAAAAAATGTAAGCCAAGGAATGAAAAGTTGACCACATTTCTCTTCACATATCTGATATTTCTCTGGGACTGGTGGTGGCAGGGAAGGGGATACCTATAACTTTGAAACAAACTGGAAGCTTTGGATATTATAAAACCTAGATATTCTAAGTATAACTTAGTAACTATATTTTACAACTTAAAGTGACCATAAAACTATGAATTTTCTATTAATTAACAGAGAATCTTTGGACTGTGGAGTGTTCATTCATTTAGAAGAACAGCAAAAGATAAAATAGATCTCCTTATTATTACAATTCAAGAGTCCTTATTATCCAACCCTAAGATTATAAGATTTATGAAAAGCTATCTGGCTTCCAAGAATAGTGCAATTTTGACTTATTAGGCAAAAGTAAAAAAAAAAAAAAGAGTTGATATATTTTCCTTATTGGACATTGTTTTGTTTTGAGATTAAAATATTATAGCTAGTAAACTTTAATTGAATTTATCCCTCTTTACTTGCTGCTTTTTAAAATAATTTCATTTCTCCAAATATTAAACTATACCACAAAATTAAGTTATTTTTTTGTTTCCAAAAAAATTATCCACTTCTCTTTTAAAGATTACATTTAACTATAATATAATGGAGATCCTTTTGAAAGGAAACAAATACTAAAATCCCATTGTTTAAATTTTGGTTTCTCTATTACATTTTATTCAAACAGGTATGAAATAACGCATATCGTATTTGGCCTCTACAGAACGCTATATCAAAGATCTGTCTAATTTATTTCATAAGATGTGTAAGTGACTAAGGAAAAGATATCAACCAAAGGGAATTTTGGCAATTTCAATAAAATTACAAATTTGGGTGTTATATTTTCTTCTATAGTGTTCATTTTAATTAGTTTATAATCTTTTTGTATGAGGTACTCTGAATACGAACCCTTCAGAAAACAATAATGTATTATATAACAAGCAGTAGAACGTAGTGGTTAAAAAAGATGCTGGACACTCGAACAAAGTATTAATACTTGGTCTATAATTTACCTGCTGCGCAACATTGCACATATTATTCAACCTCTCTGTGCATCAATTATTGTTATTGATCATTATGAGAGAGTGAGATGAGAAGCTACCTCTTAATGATGCTGTGATGATCAAATGAGCTAATACCTATAAAGTGTTTAAAATGGAATATCTAGCATAATGTAAACACTCAAAATTGGTTTTTGTTGCTAAGTTTTGTATGCATTTCGTCATGAAATTTTTTATCCACCTATATAAAATTGGCATCTTTCTTTTTTACAGATCAGGAAAGGGACTGTAGAGAATTTGAATATCATAACTAAAATGATATTTAATTACAGAATTCAAAAGAGAAAATCTGACTCCAATGCTCTGTCTCTCTCTTTTTCAATTTAACTTAGTTTAAGTTCAGGGGTACATGTGTAGGTTTCTTATGTAGGTAAACCTGTGTCATGGAGATTATTTCATACAGATTATTTCATCGCCCAGGTTTTAAGCCTAGGACCTATTAGTTATTTTTCTTAATTCTCTCCCTCCTCCCACCCTCCACCTTCCAATAGGCCCTAATGTGTGTTGTTCCCCTCTATGTGCCCATGTGTTATCTTCATTTAGCACCCACTTATAAGTAAGAACATGCAGTATTTGATTTTCTGCTCCTGCATTATTTTGCTAAGGATAATGGCTTCCAGCTCCATCCATGTTCTGGCAAAGGACATGATCTTGTTCTTTTTTCTGACCGCATAGTATTCCATGATGTATATGTACCACATTTTCTTTATCCAGTCTAACACTGATGAGGATTTAGGTTGATTCCGTATGTTTGCTACTGTGAATAGTGCTGGAACAAACATTTGTGTGCAGGAGTCTATGATAAAATAACTTATATTACTTTGAGTATATGTCCAATAATGGAATTGCTGGGTTGAATGGCATTTCTGTTTTCAGGTCTTTGAAAAATCACCACAATTTTCCACGATGGTTGAACTTATGTAGACTTCCACCAAGAGTGTATAAACATTCCTTTTTCTCTGCAACCTTATCATCATCTGTTATTTTTTGACATTTTAATAATAGCGATTCTAACTGGTGTGATATCTCATTGTGGCTTTGATTTGCATTTCTCTAATAATCAGTGATGTTGAGCAATTGTTCATGATTCTTGGCCACAAGTATGTCTTCACTTGAAAAGTGTCTGTCCAAGTCCTTTGCTCATTTTTTGGTGGGGCTGTTTGTTTTTCACTTGTAATTTGTGTAAGTTCCTTATAGATGCTGGATATTAGACCTTTGTCAGATGGATAGCTTGCAAAAATTTTCTCCCATTATGTACATTGTCTGTTCACTCTGTTGATCATTTATTTTGCTGTGCCAAAGCTCTTTAGTTTAATGAGATCCCATTTGTCAATTTTTACTTTTGTTGCAATTGCTTTTGATGTCTTTGTCATGAAATCTTTGCCCATGCCTATGTGCTGAATGGTATTGCCTAGGTTGTCTTCCAGGGTTTTCATAGTTTTGGGTTTTACATTTAAGTTTTTAATCTATCTTGAGTTAATTTTTGTATATGGTGAAAGAAAGAGGTCCAGCTTCTTTCAATCTTCTATATATGGCTAGCCTGTTATGCCAGCACCACTTATTGAATAGGGAATCTTTTCTCATTGCTTTTTTTTGTCAGGTTTGTTGAAAATCAGATGGCTATAGGTATGCAGCCTTATTTCTGGGTTCTCTGTTCTGTTCCATTAGTCTATGTGTCTGTTGTTATACAAGTCTCATGCTGCTTTGGTTACTGTAGCACTGTAATATTCTCTGAAGTTGAGTAGTGTGATGCTTCC